>NC_000022.11:29315624-29467139 GCF_000001405.40 Homo sapiens
GGGGCGCGGGGGGCAGCGCTGCCTCCCGGAGCCTCTGTGCCTCTATCCTTCTCTCGCTTCCGCGCCTGGAGTCGCCGCCCCAGCCGCCGGCGCGAGCGAGCGGGGCCTCCCGGAGGCGGCGATGAGGTAACCGCCCGCCCCTCCCACCTTCCCCCACCGCCCAGGACGCCCCTCCCAGGAAGGGTCGCAGGAAGGTGACTGGGGGACAGAGATCCCGGAGAGGGCCTACCCCTTCCTTACCTCCTCCGCGTGTCCCGCTCCTCTCACCCGCTCCAAAATAGAAGCCCCTTCCCACCCACTGCCGCGGCCGCTCTTCCAAACACTGCTCGCCCCCACGCTGGCTCCCGACAAGCCCCGGCCCCCGGAGTCAGGCCGCCCGGGGTCCGAATTGGGGGGGGCGGCTGTGTGACCTTGGGCGAATCGCCGCACTGCGCTGGGTCTGCGCTCCGCATCCATCACAGGCAGACTCCTCAAGAGGCTCCAACCTTTTCTTGAGAGCCTACTATGTGCCAGGCCCATTACCTACGTGATTCTCGAACCTACAGCCTCAGCCTGGCATCGCTGGTTGAGAGAAGAGGAAACAGGCCCGAGAGGGGAATCTGCAAGGTTAGAAGGGCAGTGGGGGGGCCCTTGAAGTCTCCTTTGAAGTCCCTCCTACCTTCCTCCTGCCCACGGGGGTAAATGGCCCACACTAGACAATATTCAAACAGCCGTCCTCGAGGGGAAGTGGGGACAGAGGGTGCCGAGACCACAGCAGCTTAGCCCCAGATCCCTGTCCCAGCAAGGCTGGAGGTGACTAAATAAAGATCCAGAAATTGGCCCACTCCACCTCCATCACTACTAAGGTCACCTTTCCTGCGTGAGTTGCAACCCGTAGCGCCCCTCAAAGGGATGCAACCTCCAAAACAGGCGCCCAGAGCCCAAGTTCCCCCTCCCTCGAGCTAGTGGAGAAGCTCCTGCCCCATCACAGCTTGGAAAGCCTGGGTTAGCCCAGCCCCCCCATCCTCCGCCTCTGCTCTCCTCCCCGCTGTGTGGGGGCTCCCACGTCTCTGACCTGCACATGGCAATGCTCAAGAAATGGCGGCAATGCTCAAGAAATGGCCGCAATGCACAGATCTCTGCACTGACTAAGGAGTTCATTTATTTATCCCCTCAACAAATATTCCAAATCTTATTGCTTGTCAGGAGGCTGAGATAGATTTAAAAAACAGAAAACAGGAAAAAAAAAAAAAGTTCTGCTTTGGGAGAGAAGGTTCTAGAACACATGGGATCTAGGGACTGTCAAAGCACAGACAATGTGCCCACACCAGCCCAGGGGAAGTAGAGGAGCTAAATCCTGAAGGGGGAGGAGGCACATCCTCCAGGGAGCCTGTATAATGACAACCAGAAAGTGTCTCCAGAACAATGGCTGTGCTTTCATCCTCCCATGCTAGATCGGGGGCTGGGGTCCGCTTTCACTCCTCTCCTCAGCCACTAGGAAGCTCAGAACCACCTCTGTCTAGTGTTCCAGGTCTTCTAGCTCAGTGAGTGGGGACTGCTGGCTTCATCTTTCTTTCCTACCATGATTTTTCCCTTCACTTGATGTCCTCTTTCACGTTGTAACTTTTCAGACTTCTGGGTTTTGTTGTTTGAGACAAGGTCTTGCTCTGTCACCCAAGCTGGAGTGCAGTGGTGTGATCTTAGCTCACTGCATCCTCAACCTCCTGGGTTCAAGTGATCCTCCTTGCCTCAGTCTCTCAAATAGCTGGGACTGCAGGTGTGTACTACGACATCCAGCTGATTTATTTTTATTTTTTGTAGAGGTGGAATCTCACTATGTTGCCCAGGCTGGTCTTGAACTCCTGGCTTAAGCAATCCTCCCTCCTCAGCCTCCAAAAGTGCGAGGATTACAGGCGTGAGCCACCACATCTGGCCAAACTTCTGGGTTTTTGACTTTTCAGGCTTCTGGGTTTTGTGAGCTGCTTCAATTCCTTCGGGGAACAAGGCAAGGAGTAAATAACAAGGCACTCAGCAACACAACAACAAAACCCAGAAGTCTGAAAAGCTGACACCAGGACGGTCTTTTGTTTGTTTGTTTTGAGATGGAGTCTCGGTCTGTCACCCAGGCTGGAGTGCAGTGGTGCGATCTTGGCTCACTGCAACCTCCACCTCCTGGGTTCAAGCAATTCTCCTGTCTCAGCCTCTAGAGTAGCTGGGACTACAGGCACATGCCACCATGCCCGGCTAATTTTTGTGTTTTTTAGTAGAGACGGGGTTTCACCATATTGGTCAGGCTGGTCTCGAACTGCTGACCTCAGGTGATCCACCCGCCTCAGCCTCCCAAAGTGCTGGGGTTTCAGGCATGAGCCACTGCGCCCGGCCAGGACGGTCTTTTTTAAGGTGTTCTCAATGCTAGGCGCACTCCCGCCCACCCCTGGGTATTCTTTCTCTGAAAAACTTTCCTTGCTTCTCCTTCCGACACTGCAAACAGAGCTGTGTGTGAGGCGTCTCTGGCTCCCAGTATGTGTTTTTGGATGGCGAGGGGAAGGGGCACTGTGGACTGGGAACGTCCTGAGGCTCCCATGAAGCCCTGCAAACGTGCCATGTTCCCTAGGAGACTCTCACAGCAGCGTTCCTAGCAGCAGTGCCCATTTATCAAGGGCCTGCGATGTGCCAAGCCTGACCCACAGCCTCATGCTCACTAAGGCTCCCTGGGACGCCATGATTGGGCCACAGTTGCCTAGCAGGAAAATGGCAGCACAGGGGCCGGAACCCAGGCCCTTGGGCTCCAGAGCCTGGCTGAGAAGCCTGGCTTCATCTGGACCCAGAGGGTTCTCAGGAAGTACTCAACTGAAGCTCAGCCCCCAGTGACCACTCAGCCCCCTGTCGGGAGGGACTTGGGGAGGCCTCTAGGTCCCGTGGAGCCCCCCATCCACAGGGGCTGAAATGAGCTCTAATGGGAGTGTGCAGCCCTGTGCCAGGCTTCCTAAAGACCAGCAGGCTGGGGGGCTGAAGCTGCCTGTCTGCCTGGGATGTGGATTTCAGGGTTCTCTCATCAGTCCCCTCATTCCTTCCCCAAGGAAAGGCTGTAGGCCTCCTGCCTGCTGCCCCCCTCCAATCCCTATTCCCCAGGGGCCTCCTGGGCACTCCTTGAATGCCCCTATCCAGGGCTCCAGGGACCACCTGCCAACTATGCATGCATCTTCTCCTTCAGCAGAGGGGACTGGCACTAGGCACACAGTGGCCAAGGTGGTCCTGCCTACCCTCTGTGGCAGGGAGAAAGAGACAGACATGCAGCTAGGCAGGGACGGGTGAAGACAGGAGCTCTGGGCTGGTTCAGGCCTGGGGAGATGAGGAGGCCTAGGGTAAGCACCAGTCCAGCGGGAGTTGAGGGGCTTATACTGAGCCCTGAAGGATCAAGCCACAGATAGTGGGGAGGGCTGGGCAGGGGCAGGCACCAGGTGGGGAATTCTGCTTTCCCCAGTTCATTGCCCACAGGCTCCTAACACCAGCTACCTGGCCTTCACCCATGTGTTTCTTCCCAACTGGGCCTGATTCCAGCCCATCCCTGAAGTCAGGCACCCAAGACTGCATCCAGCTCCCAGGGGGTGTTAGTTCTGGACTCCTTTGCTAGGCCACACCAGTCACCACTAATTATGGTCTGTCCTGGCCACGAATCATGGCTCCACACCACCAGTAACTCACCTCCTGGACCCACGAATGGAGGGATCCTCCACAGCTCACATGCTTGGGGTGTAGTGGGTCCTTGGACATCCTCATGATGACTCCCACTAATCACAGCCAGGCAGCCTCTTGAGGGCTGGGCTGGTCTTCCAGCCATCAGGACACAAGGAGGCTGGGCAGGGCTGGGCTTCCAAGCCTCTGAAAGTTTCTTTTCTTGGGTTTGAAACCTCCTTCCAGGGCTGTGTCATCTGTGCAAGTTACTTAAATTCTCTGCACCTTGGGCTGGGTGCAGTGGCTGACGCCTGTAATTCCAGCACCTTGGGGAGGCCCAGGCGGGAGGATCGCTTGGGCCCAGGAGTTCCAGACCAGCCTGGGCAACACAGTGAGACCCCGACTCTAGAAAAAATTTTAAAAATTGGCTGGGTGCAGTGGCTCACGCCTGTAATCCCAGCATTTTGGGAGGCCGAGGCAGGGGAATCACGAGGTCAGGCATTTGAGACCAGCCTGGCCAACATGGTGAAACCCCATCTCTATTAAAAATATAAAAATTAGCCAGGCATGGTGGCGGGGGCCTGTAGTCCCAGCTACTCTGGAGGCTGAGGCAGGAGAGTCACTTGAACCCGGGAGGCAGAGGTTGCAGTGAGCCGAGATTGCGCCACTGCACTCCAGCCTGGGTGACAGAGCGAGACTCCGTCTCAAAAAAAAAAAAAAAAAAAAATTAAAAAACTAGCTGGGTGCTGTAATCCCAGCACTTCGGGAGGCTGAGGCAGGTGGATCACGAGGTCAGGAGATACAGATCATCCTGGCTAACATGGTGAAACCACGTCTCTACTAAAAAATACAAAAAATTAGTCGGGCATGGTGGTGGGCGCCTGTAGTCCCAGTTACTCGGGAGGCTGAGGCAGGAGAATGGCGTGAACCCGGGAGGCAGAGGTTGCAGTGAGCCAAGATCGCACCACTGCACTCCAGCCTGGGCGACAGAGCAAGACTCTGTCTCAAAAAAAAAAAAAAAAAATTAGCTAGGCGTGGTGGTGCACACCTGTGGTCCCAGCTACTCAGGAAGCTGAGGTGGGAGGATTGCTTGAGCCCTGGAGGTCGAGGCTACAGTAAGCCATGATCACACCACTGTACAGCAGCCTGGGTGACAGAGCAAGACCCTGTCTCGAAAAAACAAAAAACGAACAAACAAAAAAACACCTCTGCTTCTCAGCTTCCTTCTCTGTGAAAGAAATATTAATTTTCTTGACTTCACTGAGCTGTGGGATGCAATGAGATGATACAAAGAGAAAAACAAGACAACTTGTTAAGTTTGGGGAGACAAAATTGGTACATATAAAACTTCCATTTTTCTATGTAAATGGCTACAAATACAAAACATAATGGAGGCATATGTGTGTATACGTGGGTAAACAGGCACACATATATTTTCTAGCTCTGTCAGCAGAGGGCCTGGAAGAAGTGACACCCAGTGGCAGTGAATACATCCAGCATCTAGCTCTTGGTTTCTTTCCTTTTTATTATTTATTTATTTTTGAAACAGGGTCTCATTCTGTTGTCCAGGCTGGAATGCACAGGCACAAACATGGCTCACTGCAGCCTGGACCTCCAGGGCTCAAGCAATCCTCCCACTTTAGCCTCCCTGAGTAGCTGGGACCACAGGCATAGGCCACCACACCCGGCTAAATTTTTGCATTTCTTTGTAGAAACAGGGTTTTGCTGGTCTCAAACTCCTGGGCTCCAGCAATCAGCCTGCCTGGGCCTCCCAAAGTGCTGGGATTACAGGTGTGAGTCACCACGCCTGGCCGCTCTTGGTTTCTGTTTTTTCTTTTTTTCTTTTTTGAGATGGAGTCTCGCTCTGTTGCCCAGGCTGGAGTGCAGAGGCGTGATCTCGGCTCACTACAACCTCGGCCTCCCAGGTTGAAGCAATTCTCCTGTCTCAGCCTCCTGAGTAGCTGGGACTACAAGGCGCCTGCCACCACGCCCCGCTAATTTTTGTATTTTTAATAGAGACTGGGTTTCACCTTGTTGGTCAGGCTGGTCTCGAACTCCTGACCTCAGGTGATCCACCCACCTCGCCCTCCCAAAGGGCCGGGATTACCGGCATGAGCCATCGCGCCCAGCCTGGCTGCTCCTGGTTTCTAATATGGTTTTCCAGTGAAAGGAACCACGCTCCTTGGAGAGATGACTGTTTCTAGGGTTGGCGCAGGACCAGTACAAGATGATCCTGGAGCCACTTATGGTGGCAGAAAGGAGGGAAGTGCTCAAAAACGAGGATGGTGGTATGTCACAGGGACATAGGAACCTTCCAGAAGGAGCTCCCAGTGGCCAAACCTGCAACAATTCAAGCAACAAAGTAAATAATGTTGTATGGGATTAAGCCCAGATTATAAAATAAATATCCATGAGTCCAAACTGATATAAATGACTGAGTAAATAAATGAATAAATGTGATCATTCAGCTTGCTTGCTCCCAGGGGAAAAAAATACATCTGAGAAGAAACCAGTCTTGCTTAAAGAAGAATTCCAAACACTTCCATGTAGCTACTCCCCCACCCCGCTTTCCAAAGTGTAGGCTACATTTAGTTATTTGCTTCCAAAGAATAGAGTACATAAAGGAGGATGGCCGGGCACGGTGGCTCATGCCTGTAATCCCAACACTCTGGGAGGCCAAGGTTGGTGAATCACTTGAGCCCAGGAGTTCAGTACCAGCCTGGGCAACATAGTGAGACCTCCTCTCTACTAAAAATAATAATAAAAAAAATATTGAATGAAATTAGCCAGGTGTGATGGTGTGTGACTGTAGTCCCAGCTACTTGGGAGGCTGAGGTGGGAGGATCAACTGAGCTCCAGAAGTCAAGGCTGCAGTGAGCTGTGTTTATGCCTCTGCACTCCAGCCTGGAGGACAGAATGAGACCCTGTCTTAAAAAAATAAATAAAATAAAAAATAAAGAGGGGAAAAGTAACTTCACGGTAGAGAAAACTGCAAACATGCAAACATTATCTTGGCTAGGTGATCCAGGCAAACGTGAGGTGACAAGAAATGTCGATAGCATGTCACCCTGATTATGATGCGTAGGAAAAGTCACCTGTGTGGTATTCTTTCTAAAAAACCATAATCCCAGGCTGACCATGAGAAAAACACCCAACAAACCCAAACTGAGGGACTTTCTACAGAATACCCAAGCAGGACTCCTTGAAAACAGTCAAGGTCATGAAACACCAAGAATAGCTGAGAAACTCTCACAGATATAAGGAGGCATGAGTACCACGTGGAATGTGGGATTCTGGAACAGAAAGAGGACACGAGCGCACAACTAGTGAAACACGAATAAAAAACCGAAATGGGCGGCCAGGCATGATGGCTCATGCCTGTAATCCCAGCACTTTGGGAGGCTGAGGCAGGCAGATCACTTGAGGTCAGGTGTTTGAGACCAGCCTGGCCAATATGGTGAAACCCCGTCTCTACTAAAAATACAAAAATTGGCTGGGCACAGTGGCGCATGCCTGTAATCCCAGCTACTTGGGAGGCTGAGGCAGGAGAATCACTTGAACCAGGGAGTCGGAGGTTGCAGTGAGCTGAGATCGTGCCACTGCACTCCAGCCTGGCAACAAAGGGAGGCTCCGTCTGAAAAAAAAAAAAAAAAAAAAAAGAACTTTTACATGAAGAAAACTTAAAATATTACAGAGACATAAAAGAAAACCTGAATCAATGGGAAAGCATCTACTCCTGTTCTTTACATATAAAGATCCAATATTGTTATTGACATCATAACAAGGCCATTCTCCATAAATAAACATTTGATGTGATCCAAATGATACGATCAATTTTTTTTTAAGGACAAACTAGTTCTAAAGTTCAAATAGAATGAAATGGGAATAAGAGGGTACAAGAAGTTATCAAAACATGGCTGGGAGCTGTGGCTCACACTTGTAATCCCAATGACTTGAGAGGCTGAGGCAGGAGGATCGCTTGAGCCCAGGTGTTCGAGGCTGCAGTGAGCTATGATCATGCCACTGCACTCCAGCCTGGGTGACAGAGTGAGACCCTGACTCAAAAAATAAAAAATGATTGGGCATGGTGGCTCATGCCTGTAATCCCAGCACTTTGGGAGGCCAACGCGGGTGGATCACTTGAGTTCAGGAGTTCGAGACCAGCCTGGGCCACGTGGGGGAACCCTATCTCTACAAAAACCACAAAAATTAGGTGTGGTAGCTCTCACCTGTAGCCCCAGCTATTTGGGAGACTGAGGCAGGAGGATTGCTTGAGCCTGGGAGGTGGAAGTTGCAGTGAGCTCAGATCACACCACTGCACAACAGCCTGGGTGACAGGAGTGAGACCCTGTCTCAAAAATAATAAATGAATAAAAATAAAAATAAAAGTTATCAAAACATGAATAGACAAATTATCTTGTATAGAACAGAGTCCAGAAAAACACCCAGATATATGTGGAAATTTAGAATATGATAAAAATGGCATTTCAAATCTGTGGGGAAAAGATGAATTATTCAGTAAATGGTGTGGAGACAAGTGGGGAACCATCTGGGGAAAAAGGGAAGTTGGATCCCTACCTCATTCCTACAGAAAGCCCAGATGGAACAGGATTGAAATGCAAAAATGAAGAGCAGACAAGTACTAGAAAGAAAAAATTAAAAGAAAATTACATCTTAAAAAGCCCAATTTCAGCATGGAAAAGTAAAAAGCAGTAACAAAATAGGGAGGAATAATGGTAAATCAGTAAGAAAAGGATCAATAATCAGATAGAAAAATGGCAGAAAATGTGAAGACAGCTCACAGAAAGGGACATACAAGTGGCTCAAAAACACATGCAAAGAGGCACATTGAAAACATGGGAAGGGCCAGGCGCGATGGCTCATGCCTGTAATCCTAGCATTTTGGGAAGCTGAGGCAGGCAGGTTATTGAGCCCAGGAGTTTGAGACCAGCCTGGGCAACACGGCAAGACCGTCTACAAAAACATACAAAAATTTACTTGGTGTGGTGGTGCGCATTTGTAGTCCCAGCTACTCAGGAGGCTGAGGTGGGAGGATCACTTGAGCCTGGGAGGTTAAGACTGCAGTGAGTGGTAATCACATCACTGCACTCCAGCCTGGGCAACAGAGACCCTGTCACAAAAAAAAAGAAAAAAAAAAGGGAAAGAAAAGAAGAAGAGAAAAAAGGCCAGGTGCGATGGCTTACGCCTGTAATCCCAACAATTTGGGAGGCCAAGGAGGGCGGATCACCTGAGGTCAGGAGTTCAAGACCAGCCTAGCCAACATGGTGAAACCCCATCTCTAATAAAAATACAAAAAATAATTAGCCGGGTATGGTGGTGTGCTCCTGTAATCCCGGCTACTTGGGAGGCTGAGGCAGGAGAATCACTTGGGTCTGGGAGGCGGAGGTTGCAGTGAGCTGAGATTACACCACTGCACTCCAGCCTGGGCGACAGAGCAAGGCTCTGTCTCAAAAAAAAAAAAAAAAAAAAAAAAAAAAAGGCAGCTGGGTGCAGTGGCTCACGTCTGTAATCCCAGAACTTTAGGAGGCAGAGGCGGGCAGATCACCTGAGGTCAGGAGTTCAAGACCAGCCTGGCCAACATGGCGAAAATCTGTCTCTACTAAAAATACAAAAATTAGCCAAGCGTGGTGGCGGGCGCCTGTAATCCCAGCTACTTGGGAGGCTAAGGCAGGAGGAACACTTGAGCCTGGGAGGCAGAGGTTGCAGTGAGCTGAGATCATACCATTGAACGCCAGCCTGGGAGGCAGAGGTTGCAGTGAGCTGAGATCATACCACTGAACGCCAGCCTGGGCGTCAGAGTGAGACTCCATCTCAAAAAAGAAATAAAAATTTAAAAATGAAAAAATAAAAAAAAGGCATGAGGACACTCTCTGTAATGGGCTAATAATGGAAAAACCTCTGCGATATAAGCCCAACATGTATTCCGTGCTACTATTTCCACACAAGAAGGGAAAAAAATCCAATTAGGCACTGCCAAGTCTCTTTGGATAATTACGTGGTTTCCTTTGGGGAGGAAAATGAGGGAAAGGGGTAGGTTTTTACATCTGTCTTGTCTTTAGATTTTGAGCCATGTGAATGTGTTACCTTTTCAAAACAAGAACTAAAATAGAAAATGCATCTTGGGTATACCCTCTGGTTCAGCAGTTCCGGGGCTAGATCCTACAGCTACATCCCTGCCCAGGCAGGAGGGTGTATGTGGGAAGTATTCGCTGCAGCATTGCTTAGGGTGCAGAAACAGCCTGAATGCCCCGCAGCAGGGACTGGCTAACGGTGGCCCATTCACACAAGGAAGCCTGAGGCGGTCTGCTCCTACTGATAGGGAAAGAGCTCCAGAAACGACTGTCAGGTCAGAGAAGCGATGTGCTAGCAGTGTCTAGGTAGGCCATCATTCGTTTAGTAAAACTCTATATGGATTTGCTTATACACATGTGCAGAATATCCCTGGAGGAAAATCAAAATCTAGTGACAATGTCTGCCTTCAAGGGAGGAAAATTAAGGACTGAGGATGGGGTGGGAGGGAGAACTTTATTCTCTGGCTGGCTGACCTCACCATGGTCCTGAATTACTTGCTCCACAAAAATGAACGCAAACCACTAGCTGAAAATTAAACAACGTAAAACCAGGTCCCGCAACAGCCTTGGCAGTGTCTGGTGCACAGGGGAGCCCATCGGCCCTTGGGTATGTGTTGGACCCTCCAGAAATAACTGGTTGCTGTTGTTGGATTTCCTGATTGGCTGGGAAGGTTCAAGACACTTGGGAATCTTCCCAAGAAAAGTCTGGGAAGTTCCCCAAGCTGCGGGATGCCAAGGCCTCCAAGAGGCGAGACGGGGAGGCCTGAGCGTGTCAGGACCAGGAAGTGCCACATGAGCAGGAGGGAGGCGGCCTGTGATGACCCTCAGAGGTGAGGGAGGGACAGGGAAGCTGAAGGGCACAGACTGGCTATGCCCTGAGGTACTCTTCCTAAAGGCAGGGGCCCAAAGTAGCATCCTGTGTGTCTATTCTCCTGATGCAGTAGTGTGGGGGACTGGGAGCATGAAGGCCCTCCCTGCCTCAGTTTCCCTGCATGTAAACTAAGCCGCATTATATGCTTAGTCCAGTATATGCTGGGTCGCCTTATGCTGAGCACTGTGGGGGTGAAAGAGGGGCCCAACTGTAGTGAGGCACCGCTCACAATCACCTGAGGCTTGAGCAGACTCATTCAAACACAAGGTGTCTAGGGATGGTCCTCCTTTCTTGCCAGCTCTCCTCACCCGGGTGGCTTGTCCTGGGCCTCCGGTGGGGACAGCGATCCCACACTTGCACTCTTCCGACCTTGCAATGGAGGGGTGGGGAGGTGAAGTGCCAAGCTCCCTGAATGGCTGAGCTGGCAGGCCATGGGCGTGGTGGCCCGTGCAGCTGCTTCCCAGGCAGAGTGCGAAGGTATTGGGCTCAGGGGAGGCAGACGACACGGCAGGGTGAGAGTCCCTCTCATTAAGGGCTCACCAACCTCTAGTTCCATGGCAGGGCAGGGACTCCAGATGCATTTGGGCAGAGACTCTCAGGCGAGGCAAGAACCAGGGTTGCACAGTCAAGGGCCTTGGTTGGTTCTGGACTCTTTGGAGGGGCCACAGCTGGGCACACAGCTCGAGCCCTTGACCCTGGGGTCCCCAGGGCAGCACAGTGACACCACAGAGGTCAGAGGTGGGGCAGTGGAGGGCCAGGTGCCCCTGTGATGCCCTGCAAGAGGGCAGGCTGTCTCACCCAGCTTCCAGCAGCCAGGAAGGCAGCGGTGTGTGTGAGGTGGGCAGCATGTGGGGGGACTAAGTGCAGACAGAACACGAGGGAGCGGCTGGAGCTGAAACAGGCTGAGGGACACCTGGGCTGCTCCTCCCTCAGAAGCAGGCTGAGGCCCACCAGCCAGGAGGCAGCTCAGCCGATGAAGCCCTGCCCAGGGTCTGGCCACCCTCACTGGGAGCCAGGCCAGTGCCAGGACTGGGGCCACACAAGGTGTCCTCGGTGGCGGCTGGCCTGGTCCACACGCCCACCCCCTCTCCCACGGCTGCCCCTGATCAGGGGATCTCCCACGGCCCCTGGAGCCTCCCAGATGGCAGGGAGCTGGGGAAAACCACAAGGGGAGCCCAGCCTTCTGGCCAGCATCACAAGGCGAGGCATTGTCAGCTCTGGGGGAGGTGGGATCAATGGCAGGAGAGGGGTCAGGGACAGCAGCAGGCCGCAGCAGTCAGTTTGCCAAGGATAGGATGGAGGGAAGGCGCTGTCCTCAGAGTGCCACGGGAGGGGCTGCTGCCGCACATACCACTGGAGCCTTTGACCCTGGGGTCCCTGCAGCCCGGGACTCCTGCCCAGAAGAGCCTCGGGCCTGACACACTGGCTGGGGACACACTTGATGTCATCATTTTTATTCATTTTCTCTTTCTGAAAATAAGAGTAAACATACAATATATATTTTCTGATGATATATATTAGATCTAGTTACCGTAGGGTCAGAAAACCATCCCCAACCACTCGGAGGCAGCTTTCAATCCTGACATTCGGTGGAGGGGAAAAAAGTGTCCGTGATTGCCAAAAGCCGAATCTTTCTTTATTATTACACAGCAGTAACAGGAAAACCTAATGCTCTGTCAGACACAACTGAAACCTGGGAGGCCAGGAGGAGGGCAGCAGACACTACAGAGAAACCCCGAAGAAACCCAAACAGGAGGCGCACCCGCTTACCCAGCCCCATCTCTCGGCCCAGTCTTTGTGGCAGGAGGCCTGGGCTCAGAGGCGACACTGAGGAATGTATCACAGGCAGTGACCACCCTTGGGGCAGAAGTGGGGAGTTGGGGATAGTGCAGCTGCCAGTCGGTGGGGAGCCCGAGACAGGGGCTCTGGGAGCTTCTGCCTGGTCTTGACCATGTGGGTCAGCACTCGGGAGGCTGTGGCCCAACTGGCACAGCTGCAGGGCACCAGCCTGGTGGTTGCAAGTGGGTGGTGCAGGCCCTGGGCTCCTCCCAGCCTAGCTCTGCCCCTCTGCCGGCACCTACAGCTCCTTGAGCCCCAGGCCCTAAGTGAGCAGCTCTCCTGGTACCAAGGGGAACCCCTCCCTGCACACCCAGGCCAGGTTGGCAGGGTCCATCCCATGAGAGGTGGCAGTGGAGGGCCCTTTAACACCAACCGGAGAGACCAAGGAGCCAGGGGCTGCCGGGGCTGTGAGCCGGAGGGGCAAGCTCCACACTCACCCTTCAGGCACAGCTTCTGTGGCTGCTCTGGCTCTGTTTCCTTTGGTCCCCACCTCACTTAACCCCACATCACAGCCACAGGAGCAGGGGTGTCCCAGAGCACGGGAGTGCACTGCGCTCTCACCCCAGGAGGGGGTGGTGCCCTACCCCAGGGATCGGGTGGGTTCTGCCATCAGGACCAGGGAGCCCACTGAGTGGCCTGGAGCCCCGCCTGGTCCCTCCTGCGAGGAGGAAGATGTGCTGCCCCCGAGGGGCCTCCTCGATGGGGCGGGCAGAAGGCTGGGGTGGGCGCTGGCCGGGGTCTCAGTTCTTGAGGATGGTCTCGTAGGCCTGGTACACGTGCTGGGACACCTCTGGTGCTCGACACTTCAGGGACAGCTGCAGGGGAGAGAGGGGTCGGGGGAAAGAGCGCTCATCCCTGGGGTTCCTCTCAGGAAGGAAAGGGGTGGGGAAGAGAGCAGGAACCAATGGGACAGCGTGGAGTGCACACAGCCTGGCGGCAGCTGCGCCTGGCACAGATGTGAGGTAAAGCGGAGGGGGCGGCTGTCGCAGCCAGCCGGGTGTGGACCAAATATACTTGCAGCCCACACACCTGCTGTCAGCCCAGTCACCAGAGCCCTGCTGGCGAGCAGTGTGAGTCACGAGCCGGAGGCTGCCAGGGAGTGCCCGGCCCCCACCCTGAGGGCTGCCCGGCCCCCCAGAGTCCCTGAAGGTCTGGGGTCCTCAGGACTGAAGCCTGACAGAAAATCCCGAGGGGGTGCGGAGGGCTGGGAGGGAGCCTGGAGGGGTGCTGGGCTCATTCCTGGTTTCCTGCGTAGGAAGCAGGCACGGTAGAGACTTTGCCTCCGCTCTGGGGCCTGAGCTTGAGATCACAGGCAGAGGAGAGAGGAGCCCCCACCCATCCACTCTAAAGCACTGGTTCTGCAGGGTGCAGTTAGGAAGTGGGAACAATGGAGTTCCGCAGGTCAGCAGCAGCCCACGGGCCCTCCAGGTCTCCTAGGAAGGACTCTGTGCACACTGTGAATGTGTGGAAGTGGGGTGTCAGCACCTCAATCAGGGCCACCTGGCTGAAGCCCCCCGGGTGAGGTGAGGCCAAGAGATGAGGTGCAGACAGGAGACATGGGGTGCATGGGGGCCATGACAGGAGACAAGACTGGGGAGGGCGGACGGGGAAAGAGAAAGCGATCTGCTAACCTCTAAGTCCTGCACCACGGGAACCAGCAGGGAAGGTGACATGCAGCAACCAAACACAGGGAGACGGAAGTTACCACCACCGAAGCCACGCCACAGCCCCCCACCGACCAGCACTGCCAGCAGGACCCAGGAGGGGCAGTGTCTGGAGGGCCATGCCTGCCAGAGACTCAGGGGTGTGGGGGAGAAGCAGAGTTTGGGGCTGTCCGGGGCCCTGGAACAGCGGTGCAGGCCTCCAGGACAACTGTGTGCCCCAGGGAAGCCATTCTCTAACAGGTCTACCTCAAAGGCTGGGAGGTTCAGGCTCCTGGGAACCACTGTCCTCCCAGCTGGACATGCAGGCACTCACAGGACAGGGCCAGGGCCTGTGCCCAGCAATGTCACTTCCCAGTCAGGGGTGCCAAACCAACTGCACCACCTTACAGGGCCCAATTTTACACAATCTTCTAGTCCAACTCACTGTTCCGAGACCCAATTGGTGTCTTATCTGGGTAACCTGACGGGGTTGATTTGGAAGCTTTCTAGAAAGGTCCTTCTCAGGGACCAAACTGATTCTAGTTCAAGCCAGGCTTGAAGGGACGCTTGGACCGCGTCCTCCACCAGGGCCACCCCCTGGCATGGGACGAAGGGGAGGCTCCAAGGCTGCAGGGCGGGTGCCGGGGCTCTCACCGTGCAGCTGGGGTTGCCCGGCTGGATCCGCAGCTCCGCCAGCACCCAGATGCCGTTGGTCAGCTTCAGGGACTGGTAGAGCATGTCCTGGCCCTCCACGTTCCTCTTGGCGACAGTGAAGATGTTGCTGCTCTGCAGCTTGCTGCTCGCAGCCTCTGTGGGGTCACATGGCCGTGAGAGGCCCCAGTCAGCGCGGGGGCCTGGGTACAGGCGAGGGGCTGGGGTCGGGGGCTCGGAGTCCTCACCTGCATTGAGGGGGCAGTCTCTGATCTGGAACTGGGCCTCATTCTCATTGGGAATATCCTTCCATGTGGCCAGGAACATCTGCCGGTCTGCGGGGTGAGCAGGGTGGGGATGAGAGGCGAGCCCCTCATAAACCTGTGGGCCCTCTGTAGCTCAGCAGGAAATGGGTCTGGCCTTTACTGTGCCACGTGAAAGCTGACAACAGGCACTAGCTGCCGCACAGCCCTCCTGCTTCCCTAAGCACACCCTCCGCTCTGTGAGGGAGGCCCCAGTGCCGCTTCCAAATGACCCTGGCTTCCTGCCTCCAGGCCTTGGATCTCCCCTCCCCACCCCCACACGCCTTCCTCCTCCTCGGTGAGCAGCCTGCTCGTTAGTCACAGCCTCCCATGCAGGCCTTCTGTGGCAAGCAAGAGATGACATGGGCCAAGGGCTCCACGCAGCCAGGGGCAGGGTGCAGGCCGTCTGTGTGCTGTGATCAACACCCTTCTTGGGGGTTCCAGAAAGGGCACAGAGGAGGGGGTTACCAGGTGTGGGGCATGACCTGGGCTCGCTGCAGCCCATGGGACAAGGCTGAGGAGCGAGCAGGAGAGCCTGGGAGTGGGGTGAGTTCCATGTGGCACAGCCCACCTGCCAGACCAGAACTGGCCACTAAGGCCGGGGGGGTCCTGGGTATACCCCTCACTCCAGGCCCTGCAGGGAAGCAGCAACTCCCCGACTCCATTTACGGGCAAGGCAGTCCATCTGGACCTTGGTAAAGGCACCACCTTGGCCAGGTTCCCAAGCCACAGCCCCATTTCAGGCACCCCAGCGGGCTCCCTCATGACTCACCCATCTTCCCGTCCTCCACAAAGAGGATGTGCAGTGGGTACAAGGTGCTGAAGTAGAAGACATCGATGTTGTTCTTCACGGCCACCTAGGCACAAGGGGGTCCCCAGTCAGTCTCTGGGGCTTGACGCCACCTCTGAGGCCCCAGGAAGAGTGTCACTGAGCAGATTCTCTCCCAGGGCCTTCCCTGGTAAACACACCCCTTCGTTCCCCAACCTGGGCCTCCCCAACACATCTGCAGCTAAGAGCATGACTCCGCAGACACGACCTTCTACTGACCCCAGTGGGGCCCGGCTGGTAGGTGAGTAAGGACTGGGGTGCCTGCCCTGCCCGGAACCCACCTGGAGGTTGTTCAGAGGCTCCATCTTCATGACCGAGCCCACCGTGCTGAGAGGCAGGGAGATCTCCACTGTCTGGTTGGGGCTGAGTGGCGCGTGGACCTGGAGGGGGGCGGCGGGGGCCAGGCCAAAGCTGGGGAGAGAGAAGCCCCACAGGGATGGCAGGGGGAGTAGGTGCTGATGCGGGACAGGTGAGCTCCTCCGACTCGGGAGCTGGGGCTGTGGTTGGCAGGGAGCCTCTCACCGTGCCAGCCTTCCCATGTTCTGGACCCTGGACAGAAGGATGGGCTGTGGGTCCCCTCCCCCAGATGGCCATCTGGACAGAAAGAAAGAGCCCCAGGCCAATTGCTCTGCTCTGCCCCAGCCTGGCTGCAGGCCTGAAGCCCAGCTCTGTTCCTCTCCTCTGGGCCAGGCACTGGTGGGCCCAGGTAGGCAGGCCTTGCCCTGTCCTGCCCTCAAGGAGCTCTGTCTAATGCCAGGGGCCTGGAGTATAAGCTGCTTCTACCTTGAAAACTCTGGGACCACCCAAGTCTCTGCTGCCAATCCTCAACTCCCAGAAGGGATCTGACCATCCCAAGCAAGACGCTAGATTTTACTCTCTTGGCCAGAACTTGCCAGGTCACACAGTGGCCACAGAGAGATTCAGGAAAGCTCTGCTTCTCTGCAAAGCAGCACAGTGACAAATTAGGAAGATCCTCATGGGTGTGAGACACGCCAGCAGCAGGCTCTTGGAAGGTAAGTCACAGGGCATGGGACTGGGGGCACAAACCGAGGGCTCGGTATACCTGGGCTGCGGATTCAATATTATACCTGCTCCTAGCCTCATAAAAACAGAGCCAGGTACACCTCTTCCTATCCTCTAGATGAGGACACCGTCTCAGGGAGGAGCAGGCCTGTGTCAGACCCCATAGGGTGAGGGCGCTGCTGAGAATCAGAGTTTGGGCTGTCTGACCCCAGCCTGTGCTCTGCCCAAGAAGCCATCAGCCTGCCTGGGACACAGAGGGAGACCATTTGGGGAACCCCAGGTCCGCTTGGTGGCTCAGCACACTAGGCTTTCCTGGGAGCTCCACTACTGCTCGCTATGTGAGCTGTCCAAGGAGCCCAGGTGTCATTACCTACTAAAAAGGGGTGATGGCAGTGACTTTGCTGGGCCATCAAGTGGCTCAAGTGAGACAATACTCCCAAAGCCGGTGCCACAGGGCCTGGGTGCCCAGGAAGCATTCAGCACACAGTAAGTTTGCTAGAGGCAACCATTGGAACCACCTCTCGGAGCCTGGTGCACTTCTGTGGCCTCCAGGGTCACATGAGGGTAAGTGGTAGAGCCACCCCTAGCCCCGGTCTGCCCAAGGGTCAGGACCTACTGGCCCCCAGGCTTCCTTGGGGAAGCAGCCCCTTCAGTCAACTTCTTAGAGGCTCAGTTTGCTCATCATGAGCGTGCTCAGGAAGAAGAATCATCAGGAGGGGCTGCCAGGGGTCCCCAGGGAGTCCTAGCCTCACTGGCTGGGTCCATGACGCAACCTTCCCACTGACACCCAGTGTAGCGGACCCGGTGGGGAGGGGCCTGAAGCAGCTACCGCTCCCAGAGGCCCCATCTGACACTTTAATCCTCTGCCACAATGGGGAGGCTGGTAGGCAGGCCCACTCCCCACCAGCCTTCTGAGAGCTGGTCCCTAAGATGGGCCCCTCCTATGTGGGGTGTTTGCCAGAGGTGGGCTTCTCAGCTGGAGCAGGGCGTTTCTGTCTGTAAAACACTCCTTTGGACTGTGGAGGCAAAAATAAGGGGGGCCAGGTGTGGTGGCGTGCACCTGTAGTCCCAGAGACCCAGGAGGCTGAGGCAGGAGGATTGCTTGAGCCCAAGGGTTCAAGACCAACCTGGGCAATACACTGAGGCCATCTCAAAAAAAATAAAAACTAAAAAGAAAGACGTCCTTTCCCACTCTGCCTGGTACTTTGGAGTCCATATGAAGAGGCCACTTGGGGGTAAAAATCCCACTGCTTGGCTGAGCACGGTCACTCACACCTATAATCCCAGCACTTTGGGAGGCCGAGGTGGGCGGATTGCCTGAGCTCAGGAGTTCGAGACCAGCCTGGGCAAGATGGTGAAACCCCATCTCTACTAAAAATACAAAAAATTAGCCAGGCGTGGTGGTGTGCACCTGTAGTCCCAGTTACTCGGGAGGCTGAGGCGGAAGAATTGCTTGAACCCAGGAGGTGGAGGCCGCAGTGAGCCGAGATGGCGCTGCTGCACTCCAGCCTGTGTGACAGAGTGAGACTCTGTCTCCAAAAGAAAAAACAAACAAACAAAACCCAGTGCTTCAGAGAGTTTTGGCCTGAGCGGTGGTGGGGAACATCCTTCAGAAAAGGGGCACTGCCCTCCCCTCTACAGCCCCCACCCCTGCCTGCAGTCCCCAGAACAGACTCCGAGTGGGTTCTCTCACAGGCCTCCTCTTGAGAGGTGCGCTGGCCTCAGGGAGCTCTCACCTGTTGCGGTTGAACTGGATGGCAAAGTCGGTCATGACCTGCAAGGCCTTGTTGGTCAGCTGCAGGTCCATGGAGATGGAGCCCACCTGGCGGGTGAAGGTGCCTGAGATCTCCAGCCCCTTAGCCTTCATGGCTGGGAGCCAGACCTGCAGGGAAGAGGGTGCGGAGGGGGCGGGTAGGTGCCTCTTCCTGCAGCCCAAACTCAACAGCCCACCTGAGGGTGCTTTTTCTCTCTCTCTCCTGCAGGGGCCTCCCAGATCCAGCACCCCCACCTTTACTGCTAGGGGATGAACAGGTGTGTACTGGGAACAGAACAATCCCATGTACCATCTAGGGCCACCGCCATGACAGGCTGCCTCTCGGAGCAGCTCAGGGTGGGGAGGCACTTCAGCGCTCCAGGGCTGACGTTGAGTCCTCAGAGGGCAATGGAGGGATCACTTGGGAAGTAGGGCTGAGGGAGGCCATGAGCTGGCAATGGAGGGATCACTTGGGAAGTAGGGCTGAGGGATGCCATGAGCTAAGGACAGAGCTCAGTGCCCAATGGCATCCTGGGCCTCGGCCAGAATCTGGGCCTTCCTGGCCATCACCGCCTGTCCTCCCTTGCAGGAGGCAGGGCTGGCCTTTGGCTGTAGAAACTGGTCTGACCAAGGACAGTACCTAAGAGGACCCCTCGCCTGGCAGGCCTTCTGCTGCTTGGCTGCCCTTGTCATTCAAGTCTCAGCTCAAGAACCACCTCCTCCTGGAACCCTGCCCCCAGGTTCCCTCGCCCCAGTGATGTTATGGCAGATAAATATGAGCTTGTGTCTGTCTCTCCTGTACTCAGAGAGCTCGCTGAGGGAAAGGCTCTGTTTTTCTGTCTTTACCACCTTGGCTCAGAGCCTGGTGTGAAACCAGTGTTTGGGGAGTGTTTGCTGAGCAAACAGGATGAGTTAGAGCCCTGCCATGGAAGACATCCACCAGCGGCATCCTGTGGGCTCACAAACGCCTCTCAGGCGGTTACTCTCCTGTGGACGGCTCACAGGCCCCTTGAGGTGAAAAGGCTCAGACCCCACCGACAGCTTCCGCAGCGCACTCAGTGCCAACAAAGGTCCCACTGTCTCTCAGGTTGCCAGGCCAGAAACCACAGAAACATCAGGCACCAGCCCCCCACCCCACCCTAACCCCCTTGAGACAGTCACGCAACCCAAGTCCTGTGAAGGCCACCTCTTACATCTGCCTCCAGGGCCTCCATTTCTCTCCATCTCCAGAGGTGCCACCAGCATCTAAGCTGCCACCAGATTTCCCAGGTAAGACAGCAGCTGCCAGGTGGCACCCCATTTCCACCCTCTCCCCCTTTCCACAGCAGCTGATGTTATCTTGTGAAATGCAAATCTGATCATGGCACCCTGAGAAACTCCTTCCAATCCTGCAATGGCCTCCACGGGCCTTGGCCTCCACAGCCTGGTGCCCATCTGCTCCCCAGGCTTGGCTTGCCCCTGCCCCTGGGACCTCACACTGGCTGTTCCCTCTGCTTTGAAAGCGCCTCCCCACCCCCATCCTGCTCGGTTAACCCTGAGCACGCCCCCGGACAGATCTGTGAGGACAGAAAGCACCCTGCTTTTGTTCTTGGCTGTGCCACGGCGGCTGAGAGAGTACGCAGAAGCTGGCTGAACCTGACCGGGGGGCATGGCTCTCTCATGGACAACTCTCCAGGGGCCCCCCAATCAGGCCTCCTTTCCCCTGGCCCTCTCTCAGTCGCCCAAGGCTGGGGATGCAGACCGCACTGCTCTTGGTCACTATGGGTTCATGGCATCTCACACAGGTCCCAACAGAACCATCTTCAATCTTTACTGGATGAACCAATGAACTGTCACCACCAGCAGACTCAAATGGTGAGGAACCCAAAAGTTCTTATGCACAGACAGCCTCATTCCTTAGACCAACATGGTTGGCCAATGTCTGTAACCCCACAAGCAGGGTGTGGAAATGCATGAGGAATGAACAATTCCAGGTGGCCACAGCGCTGTTAGGAAGATGTGGATACCTACTGAGTGATTCTGAAGGGATAGTGCACCCACACCCTAGAACCCTCCCATGACCAAGGCAGTGGGGAAAGTCCTGCCCGTGGCAGAAAAACTCCTCCTCCAGGCAACCTGCCCTGATGACTCTTGACTAGGAGATCCCCTCCCCTCTCCTTTCCAGCATGCTCTGTTGGATACACTCATCTGACCCTTCACGAAGACAAAGCAGGGGTAACACTGGTAAGACAAACACATGGCTGGGCGCAGTGGCTCACACCTGTAATTCCAGCACTTTGGGAGGCCGAGGCAGGTGGATCATCTGAGGTCACGAGTTCAAGACTAGCCTGGCCAACATAGTGAAATCCTGTCTTTACTAAAAATACAAATAATTAGCTAGGCATGGTGGCAGGTGCCTGTAATCCCAGCTACTTCGGGAGGCTGAGGCAGAAGAATCGCTTGAACCCCGGAGACACAGGTTGCAGTGAGCTGAGATCGCACCATTGCACTCCAGCCTGTGTGACAAGAGCAAAACTCTGTCTCAAAAAAAAAAAAAAAAAAAGATGAACACACAAGCCTAGTGCCAGCTTGCCAAAGGCCAGCTCCAGGCTTATTTTTCCTGGCAGCTCTGCAGTGCCTGGCAAGGGCTGGCACCCACAGGGTTACAGGAGTCTTTGCTGTTCTCTGTCCCTTAGTCCTGCTTTGTATGCCTGTGATATTGGGCTTCTGGTGAGTACGAGTTGGCCTCATGCCTTGGTGCAGCTAATCCAGGTAGTAAGTCAACTGCACATGCTGTACGTTATGCCGCGATTCTACGTTCCCGTGGCCCTGCTGGCCCTGACACCCCACGCATGAAGGCAGGTGCACAGGTGGTTCTCACGCTCTGTGGGGACCATCATATAGGGGTCTGGAGCAGAGGCTTTAGTGTCACTTGCTTTCACTTCCAGACTCTGTCACCAGCTATGTGACCTTAGGCAAAAGCACTAGGATTTCTCAACCACGAAATAGGAGGAAGAGCCACAAAGGGCTGCTGGGAGGAGGACGTGCTGGCGGTGGCTGTGGAATGCTGTGCTGTCCCTACAAGGAAGTGTGCGGCTACTAGTGTCCGAGTTGCTGTCTGCTGTGGGCCTCTCAGTGCCCAGACCCTGCCAGGGGCTCCAGTCACCACCACTGCAGGTGCAGCTGGCATATGGTGGGGAAAGCCAGCTCAGGGGGTGGGGAGGTGCTGGCTCATGGCTCCCTAGTCATGACAGAGCTGTCACTGCCCCTGACCGCCAACTGTATCCTGCTTTGGGGTGGGGACCTCAGAAGAGAGAGGGGAGCTCTGGCAAACACAACTTCTGATCTGAGTGTGATGAGGGGATCAGGCCTGGTTGGTCCCCTCTGGCAGCTTCCTTGACACTGACAACATGGCCCACACTGAGCTCTCCTCAGTGCCAGGCCCGCATGTCCTCACATCCCAAACTCAACTCTCCTTCCCTCAGCCCCGGCTCCTCCCTCCCAGGGAGCTCTCAAGTCTGGCCGCTGTTTCCACCCACAAGAGCCCCCGTGGTCCAGCTGCCCCAGCACTCCTCCTCCCTGCCACGGAATCCCCCGGGGCCGGTGCTTCTGCCCCACCCCTTCCCTGCAGACGCAGCCATCTTTCTCAAGTGCAAATCAGACTGGTTCATCTCTTTGCTTAAAACTTTCCAATGGCTCCGGCTGTGCCAGGATCAAGAAGAAACGCTCAGCCTGGCCCGCCAGCCTTGCCAGCTTCCTCCTTCACTGATCCCTAGTCTAGCCAGGAGTCTTGGGGGTGTGCCCTAGGTGGCATAGTGGGCATCTGTGGGCATCTTCAGGTGGCATAACATGTAGTGGGCTGGAGTCAGGGATGCTGGACATCCTACCATGGGGACAACCACCCCACAACAAGCAACTGTCCTGCATCCTTCCAGTATTTTCTGCATGGTTTCAACATATCCTGAGACTTCCAGGAACACAATTCTCAGGAAAATCGAGGGAAGCCTGTTCTTTATCTTACTCCAAACCTTACTGGGAGTCAGTGACCACTTCAGAAACAAATGGCACCACTGGCCAAACCATTCACGGGGTCCAGGCTACAAACACCCAGACTGTGGTTGCCACAGTCACAGTGACTTTGCCCTGCAGCAAACACCTGGCAACTTCATGTCTTCTGGGGTGAGCGGGCAGGCGTGCCCAGACGTTTATAACATTGATACATACACTTGTATTCTCTCCCTTTTATGTCTCCTCCATGCAGTGAAAGCATCTGAGTATTTTTGGAATGCTATGTGTAGGTAGGTTACACAGCCCACCAATTGCATTTAAGGAGAGGAATGGTGACAATGTAAAATGTCTATGATGACTAAGGGGTGCTGAGTCTGATGGCACTGAGAACTACTGCTCCCACCTGACAGGCCTCTGCTGATTCCCTCACAAAGGCCGTGGTCTCCCTTCCCTCCAGGCCTTACCACAGACTGTTCCCTTGGTCTGGAGCCCCTATCCGCTTTTGTTCAGCTACTGAGGTCCTGCGACTCCTCTGGAAAGCCTTCCTAGGTACCCACCAAGCTTGACTTAGCTCCTCTTCCTCGGTGCCCCTGTGGCCCCCAGCTTCCCTCATCACTGCTGGCCTGAGCCAATTCCACAGCCGAGGCCATTTAAAGGAGCCCACATGCCAGTCTCCATAACTTCTCTCTGCTCCCGCCAAGACAGAAGACAAGTGACTTACTGCTTTGGGGGCCACATATGATCCTGACAGGGTGCCCACGCCACTGGTCAGGTCAAAGAGGTCACTCAGGCCACTGCCGATGGGTGCTCCAAGATTGGCTGGTACTGCTGCTGTTGGAGGTGCCACGAAGTTGGTGCCCCCAATCTGGAAAGGGAGGGAAAGAGTCAGAGGTGGGCGTCAAGAGGCAAAGACATCAGGGTCTGGGAATGAGTAGAGCCACCTGGCTCTTTAGAAGACACTGGGGGCAGGGGGCAGGACAGCCTCCATATCAACTCTAAATTACAGAAACAAGACAGAGAGAGGTGGGTGGAGAAGAGAGGCTGAGCCCTCCCGTGCCCTGCAAGCCTTGAGCCTTAGGAGTAACCTCTGGGAAAGGGCTGGGGACACTCCCAAATTGACGCTCAGCCTATGGATAAAAGGAGGTCCCAAGACACACGGCTGGGTGGAGACATGCTACGCAGATGGGTGCTCTCCCTCCAGGACATCAGAGAAGGGTTGTGGGACTGAGGGCTGGCAATCCCCGCGATGACAAGGCGACGTGTCATGGGGTGGTGAGGACTGGGCAAGAATCCATGGCTATGGGGCCCAGTGGCAGCCGGATGCCAGGTGGTCAAGACAGAGGCTGCCAGGATGCTGGACCAAGGCAGGGGCTCAGCAGGTGGAGGCTGCTGTGACATCACCCGCCCCCGCCCCTTGGGATGCTGGGCCAGCGCTTTCGGGAGGAGCAAGGACGAAGGCTTGGTGACGCAAGGGTTGAACCATACCCCTTCAGGCTCATCCCCCATCTCCAAGCAGAAGCAGGCAGGTGAAGAGAACAGGCAGCCACATGCAGAGAGAAAAAGCCAGGAAGGAAGACAGAGAAACAAGAGAGAGAAGGGAAAGAGGGAGATTAGTCAACGGTAGCTCCATCCGAGAGGAGTGTGGTGTGAGGTCTGGCGAGAGGCCCAGACCCTGTCTCTATGAAAGGCACTACCCCACACCTTTACCCCAACACCTGTCCTGCACCACAGCCCTTCCTGCCTCACCCTAGCAGCACTGATCACCAGTGTCCTGCCCCCGTGCTGCCACCGTGCGGACCTGAGCCGAGCACAGCCAAATGAAGAGGTTTAGGCGCCCCCACACATGGTCCTGCCAGTTGCCTGAGGAAGCCCCAGGGAGATACCCAAGTCAGTCTCACCACTCCCCTCCCTACTGTCTTCCCACTCCCCTCTCTCCCCGGCCTCCCATGCCCTCTCAAATAGGCCTGGATGGGCTGCTATTCCCAGCTGGCGCTGCATAAGGGTAAGTGGACACAAGTCTGATTCCTCAAAGCCAGGAACACCCTAGCCTTACAGGGCAAAGGTGACTGTGATGCCAGGATCAGGGCAAGGGCTAGGATGCGCCTCCCTGCCCAGGGTCTCCTGGGACTCGAAGGTTCAACAAGGGAGTGGAATCCTGTCTGCCTCTCAGGGGCTGTGCGACCTCGGAGGGAAGGCTGCCTGGCCTCTCTAAACCTTGGTTTTCTCATCATAAGTAGGGAGCTACACAATCACCTCCAAGGGTAAATGGTAAGGACTCTATATAATGTACCTGAGGCACTCAGCTGGTGCCTGGCATGGAGGGGCATTCAGTGACTGCTCCTCTGAGGATCATTATCAACATCATCCAGAGGGGGCCCACAACATACCAGGCTGTCAAGGCCACCGCCAAGAAGGTCCACAGCTCCCATCTGCACCGAGGAGGTGGCCAGGGGTGGGCCGCTCACTGGGGGGCCGAGGTCCAGGTTGAGGAGGTCACCCAGCAGGTCGCCCTGGGCGGGGATGACATCTGGCTGCTCCCCAGGAGGTGCTCCAGTAGGGGCTGTCTCAGGGCTCTCTGCGCTCTCACTCCTGCCGGGACACAGAAGTAGGGTGGAGGCATCAGGATGTCTCAGGAAGGTCAAAGAGACCCCAGCCTCCAGGCAGAGCTGTCCCCCAGGACAGGCACTGAGTCTCCTCACTGTCCCCGACAGGGCTGTCCACACGGCCCCACTTCTTCCCCATTCCCATTCCCACAGCAGGTCCATCTTTCAGGTCCTCCGTGAGGATGAGTGAAGGGAGAGGGCCGCCTGCTTCTAGCCCTCAGCCCATGCTAAGAAGAAAACTGGATGCCAGTGCCCTAGGACGGTGCCACCAGGCCACACCAACCACCTGGGAACAACAGAGGAGGAGGCGCAGACAGGGATCTGGAATGAGACAGAACTGGTCTGAGTCCCAGCTCTGCTAGCTGTGAGATCCTGGACCAGTCCCTCAAGCTCTCCTTGTCTCTTGTTCCCACCTGAAGAATGGGGACATTTGCTCTCAGCACTGTCGTTAGGCTGGAATGAGGTCATCTAGCAAATACCTTGTGTACAATAAATAGCTGATAAAAGGTTGTCAGTTTTCCTCAGACTCAGGTCTTGCTGGGGGACAACACGCCAGGCCTGAGTGCCTGTGCTGCTAAACTGGGGAAGCAGAGTGTGAAGGCGCAGGCCGACTGGCCAGTCTCACTCACGAGGCCGTGCGAGGTGGCAGGCTCTTGTGCACGACGCCCCGGCCCCCCTCCACAAAGGCACTGGGAGGCTTATGGTAGACGGAAGCCAGCGTGCCGATGTAGCAGATAAGCTCGTCTAACAGTGTGGGCTCGATGAGGTCCGTCTCTTCAGAGATGAGTGGCTTCTCAGCCAACACCACCTCCTTGGCTGCCACCGGGTCCGTGGACAGCAGGCGCCAGTAGATGTAGCCACGGTCCCGCAGGTCTGGGTTATCTGAGTCCTTGTGGGGGTGAGGAGAAGCCCATGAAACTCAGAGTAGCCAGGTGAGAAGGGAGGAGACCTTCCTGCAGCCATGAGCCAGGTGCGGCACAGGGGTGGCCAATGGGGACAGCAGTCCTGAGTGCTCCCATGAGCCTGCCCCTATACCACCTACAGGGCCATGCCCTGGCCCCGGGCTCATTCCCCATGGTACTCTACTCCAGCCTGGCCATGCCTGTCTCTACTCCCAACCGCCCTCTGTGGCCTGCCCTTCCTGCCCCCAACACACACCCTCAGGTTTCCATGGGCCCTCCTCCTCTGTCTAGTTTGTCTCAACTTCACTACTTGACCTCACTGCACTTTGTGTTGTGTTCTAAGCACCCTGAAGGCAGGGAGCTTGGGTAACTCTGGGGCTGGAAGCCAGTCCCACCCACAAGATACCTGTCTTAGGAGCGGGCCTGGCTTCCAGGTCTAGTTCCTGGGACAAAAGTTCCCCTGCTTGAGTGAGGGCTATGCTGGGCACAGCGGGGAGGTTGGGGCACCCACCTGAGTGGCCAAACTGAGGACCTGCTGCACCAGCTCCTGGGTCTCTGTTGGCTTCTTTAGAAAGAGTTTCACAATGGCTGTCAGCAGCTGCAGCTGGACCTGCAGGGAACAGCGGTGACGAGGAGGAAGTGTGGGCCTCACATGGGGATAGAGGGAGAACAAAAAGGCTTGAAGAGGAATAGGGTGTTCAAAGTCCCTGGAAGCCAAGCATAGCTATTCTAGGTTTGGGGCTGTCACGGCACACAGGCAAAGGGCTGCCACAAGTGTTGGTGCCGCTGAGCAGCCAGACCTCGGCATCACTCACTCAGGAAGGAGCTGAATACTGGACTATTTGGCAAACCCAAGTAGGCCAGGGGCCGCTGCCCAGCCCTAGGGTTTTAGAAACCTGTTGGAGCTCTAGAATTCACAGAACTATGAGAAGCTCACATGTGTGGCTGGAGTGCTTCTTATCAGGACCATCTGTCAACAAGTGGCGACAGTCCCATGGAGGCCCAGGGGACTGGGGCAGCAGGGCCCACAGAGCCTGCCGTCAAGGACCTGTGCTTCTACCAGAGGGTTGGAACTATTCCTGGTGGCCCTCCACCGGCCCCTGCCACATGCCTGGACATACCCAAAGCTGCCCTCATCCTGGCCAACACCTCCTCACCCTTCAGATCTCATGCCAACCCCACCTCCAGACCCCCCATGCTTCTGCAGCCTCTTCCACCCCGTCACAGCGCCACCAGTTGCTGGCTATCCTGTACAGTGAGCCCCCTGTGGGCTGGAGTGATGTCTGTCTTGCTTACTGTCGTGTCACTAATTACTGCCCAATCTAGTGCCTGGTGTATAGCAGGCACTTAAGAAATACTTGCTGACTGAAGAAACATCTATGCGAGAACAAGTCTCTGCACATAATCCTTCCTTAGTCACGGTCTCATTTTTGCTAGTCCTAGGACAAGGGGGCAGCCTGATGCTCCCGGAGTCAGGGGCAGTGGGAGCCCATAGGCTGTGCCAGGGACAGGTCTGCAGCAGGAGGGCAGGAGTGGCAGTGCAGGAAGCCCAGCAGCAGCCGTGCTGACGGCATCTCTGGCACCTGCCCAGCAGGAGGGCACTTGTGCAGGGAAGGCTGACAGAGGCAGGCAGAATGGAGGGCACGTGGTCCTCCAATTCTGGGGTGAACCAGAGTCTGCAATTTGGTTACATGGGGGCCAGCAGCAGATGAGCAGTAGGCTGGCTGTTTCCAAGGCAGGAGGCAGCCCAGCATCTGGCTTCCAGACTCTAGCCCTGCCTGGGCAGCCAATGGGAAGCCGTTTACCCCCATCTGTAAAGGAGAGGTGTGGCCTACTTCAGGGATTCTTGTGAGCTTTAAAAACAGCAACTTATGGCAGCTTGCTTGGAGCTGGAGTCAGATCACACCTTATGTGAACTCCAGTTCTATCACTTCTCAGCTGACAGACCCTCGGCAAGTCATTTAGCTTCTCTGAGTCAGTTTCCTAACGTATAAAACAGTCATTACACCTCACAGCGTTAATGGAGAGTTGATGAAACCACAAATGTAAAGAAGTGGCCAGGCGTGATGGCTCACACCTGTAATCCCAGCACTTTGGGAGGCCTCGGTGGTTGGATCACCTGAGGTCAGGAGTTCGAGACCAGCCTGGCCAACATGGTGAAACCCTGTCTTTACTAAAAATACAAAAATTAGCTGGGCCTGGTGGCAGGTACCTGTAATCCCAGCTACTCGGAGGCTGAGGCAGGACAATTGCTTGAACCCGGGAGGCAGAGGTTGCAGTGAGCCGAGGTCTCGCCATTGCACTCCAGCATGGGGGACAAGGGCGAGACTTTGTCTCAAAAAAAAAAAAAAAAAGTAAAGAAGCATTGTGTATTCTGCTCACTACAGAACAGCTATCATCATCACAGTCATTATCACCACTACCATCACACAGGGACTCTTGAAAGAGTTCTTCCCAGTCCAGTCAGCCGGATGCCTGGAATTATTCATCACTGTCAGATCTGCTGTGGTTCCAGTCAGGTATGCCTCAGGCTGTATTGCCAGAGGGAGGTCTGGCCAGGTGCCCAGGGCCCTGGCTCAACAATCCGTTCCAGTTCCTCTCAACACGCTCAACACACTCAGGCCGTTAGCCTGCATATTTAGGGCAGCCTTCTGCAATAATGCCATTGCCCCTGCCATCCAGACAGGATGGGATGGCAGGACAGGGCCAGACGCTGGGCTGATATACCACCCTGGCCAAGATTTTTTTTTTTTTTTTTTTTTTTTTTTTGAGATGCAGTCTCACTCTCCTGCCCAAGCTGGAGTGCAGTGGGATGATCTCATCTCACTGCAACCTCCGCCTCCTGGGTTCAAGTGATTTTCCTGCCTCAGCCTCCCGAGCAGCTAGGATTACAGGCACACACCATCACACCTGGCTAATTTTTGTATTTTTAGATGGGTTTCACCATGTTGGCCAGGCTGGTCTCAGACTCCTGACCTAAAGTGATCCACCCACCTCGGCCTCCCAAAGTACTGGGATTACAGGCGTGAGCCCAGCTGCTGACCAAGACTTTCTAAGTCTGCTGTCCATGGCTAGAGAGGCCTAGGAGCCAAGGATGAGAAGATTCAACAAGACAATATAAAATGAGTTCCATAATTGTCAAGCCCGGTGCAGTGGTGCAGGCCCATAGTCCTAGCTATTCAGAATCCTTTGAGCCCAGGAGTTCAAGGCTAGCCTGGGCAAAACATAGTGAGATTTCGCCACTAAAACAAACAAACAAAAAACTCCAAATCGTCAAGCACTAAACAAGTATTCTTTTTTTTTGAGACAAGGTCTCGCTCTGTTGCCCAGGCTGGAGTGCAGTGGTGTGATCTTGGCTCACTGCAGCCTCAACTTCCCAGGCTCAAGCAATCCTCCCACCTAGGCCTCCCAAGTAGCTGGGACTACAGGTATGTGCCACCACACCCAGTTCATTTTTTTTTTTTTATAGAGATGAGGTCTCACTATGTTGCCCAGGTTGGTCTCGAACTCCTGGACTCAAAAGATCCTCCTGCCTCGGCCTCCCAAAGTGCTGGGTTACAGGCATGAGCTGCTGCACCCAGTTAACAAGTTTTGTTTTGTTTTTTTTCTTTTTTCTGAGATGGAGTCTCGGTCTGTTGCCCAGGCTGGAGTGCAGTGGTGTGATCTTGACTCACTGCAGCCTCAACTTCCCAGGCTCAAGCAATCCTCCCACCTAGGCCTCCCAAGTAGCTGGGACTACAGGGGTGTGCCACCACACCCAGCTAATTTTTTTTTTTTATAGAGATGAGGTCTCACTATGTTGCCCAGGTTGGTCTCGAACTCCTGGACTCAAAAGATCCTCCTGCCTCGGCCTCCCAAAGTGCTGGGGTTACAGGCGTGAGCCGCTGCACCCAGTTAACAAGTTTTGTTTTGTTTTTTTTCTTTTTTCTGAGATGGAGTCTTGGTCTGTTGCCCAGGCTGGAGTGCAGTTGTGCGATCTCGGCTTACCGCAACCTCCGCCTCCCGTGTTCAAGCGATTCTCCTGCCTCAGCCTCCTGAGTGGCTGGGATTACAGACGCACACCACCATGCCTGGCTAATTTTTGTATTTTTAGTAGAGACGGGGTTTCATTATGTTGGTCAGGCTGGTCTCAAACTCCTGCCTCAAGTGATCTGCCTGCCTTGGCCTCCCAAAATGCTAGGATTACAGGTGTAAGCCACTGTGCCTGGCCCTAACAAGTATTCTTAAAAGAGCTTTGAACTGTGTTGTGAACCAAAGATGCAAAGTGAACAGGCTACTGAATTACATCACACCCCCACTTTACAAACAAGGCCCAGCAGTCTTTGCAATAACTGCACTAGAGACAAGGAAATGGGTTTGGTGAGTTCAAGTAACTGTGCTCCAGGCCACACAACAGGGAGGAGGAGCTTGGATCTCAAACTTCAGAGCTCTGTTTCTGTTCACACCACCAGACTCTTGGCTTACCTCTCCCTGTCCAGCTTCTCTCATTCTAGCTTTTTAGCAGGCTTAGCTGCAAAAGACTGACCCTATTATAGGGGCAGAAGCACACCCCTACAGCAGCGGTTCCCAGCCTTTGTGGCACCAGGGACCAGTTTTGTGGAAGACAATTTTTCCACAGATAGGGGATGCGGGTTGGGGGATGGTTTCAGGATGAAACTGCTCCACCTCAGATCAGGCATTAGGTTCTCATAAGGAACACACAACCTAGATCCCTCTCATGTGCAGTTCATAATAGAGTTTGCGCTCCTATGAGAATCTAATGCCGCCGCTGATCTGACAGGAGGCGGAGCTGAGGCAGTAATGCTTGCTTGCCCGCCGCTCACCTCCCGCTGTGCAGCCCAGTTCCTTACAGGCCATGGTGGCCCGGGGGTTGGGGATCCCTGCACTACAGGACATCCTTGCAGTGATCCCAGGCAGGACTTGACTGCAGGAGCAGAACCCAGCATAGGCAAGCTTTGCTTCTGAGACAGAGGGAAGAGGCTGGTATTGCAAGCAAAGGCAGTCTGGAGGCAGGTGGCAGTGGGGGGGGGTGACGGTGGGAATTAGTACTGTGATTCTGAGATGGACATCTGTTGTTTTTGCTCACCCAGCATCTATTCTGTCTTCTGGGAACAGAAACACTGGCTTTCCTTCAGAGCCTCGCCCTTCTTTCTGTCCCTTTCAGTCCACACAAACTGGGATCGGTGCCTGAGAGACCTCGCCAACCAGAGTCACAGTGCCTGGCTCAGGATAATGCAAATAGGTCCTGGGACTTTTGCTGGAACTACTGAGGGGAGGGGAAAAACTCTTCCCATGGGAGTTATTGTGCCATAAGGACATAGCCTGGAACTGTTGATTCCTTACAGCTCCCACTGTTGGGAGCCTATCCATGGCAGAAGATAGCTCAATGCCACCATCCAAGCACCCTCAGCCAGGAGTCCCAGAAGAGAGCATGCTACCCACACTTGCCAGCTACCGGAACCAGTTGGTCCCCTTTTTGGCCTGGACTAGTTTGCTTTTGAAACCAATTTGGCCCAAACCAACACTACCATGAACGAGTGTTTATTATGGGCTGGCCATGTGTCAAGGACATTACACAAAGCACCCTAATTTAACTTTCGTAGCAAGAGGATGAGGGAAGATCTAATGATTCTCATTTTACAAATGAAGAAACTGAGGCTCAGAGAGTTAAAGGGATAAGCATAAAGTTACTGAGCCAGGAAGGGGCAGAGGAGGGGTATGGACTCTGGGATCTCTCATTCTAAGTCCCACACTTGGACCCACGGGATTACACAACCCCAGTTGGGCAGCAAAAATTTCTGTGCTCACCAACAGACTAACAGACAGTTCCCAGTTAACTGAGAAAAGGGAATACAAATGACAAGGCAGACATTCAGCCTCATTCATAACAGAAATGCAAACAGAACTACAGTGAGGTACCCCTGTTAGCTACTGGACTGGCAAAAACAAAGCAGAAGTAAGGAGAGGGCAATCCCAGCATCTGAGATAGGAGTCTAAACCAGCACAACCTCCACAACAGGAATCTGGCAACAGCTACCCAAATCTCAAACTCACATGCTCTTTTCTCTAAGCATCCTGCTCCTATGAATGTATCCTCCAGCTATGCCTGCAGATGTGCATTACACAGGTTATTCTCGGCAGTACTGTTTCAATGAGCACAAGACTGGACACCTAAATACCCACCAGGAGAGGATGGTTAAATAAAGCATAAATGAATGAGAGCATGGTCTTTGCAGGTGTTGGTAACAGAAAAAGGCAAGGTGCTAAACAATTTGAATTTACAGAGTATGCTACAGCAGTGTTTAAAAATAAATGAGAGGGCAGTGTAGATACAGTTGATTCTCACTACTTGAGCAATCCATGTTTGTGAATCTGCCTACTTGCTAAAATTTACTTGTAGCCCCCAAATCAAGACTCATGGTGCCTTTGCAGTCATTTGCAAATACGTGCAGAACCGTGAAAGCTTTCAGTTGCCTGACACACACATTCACAGCTGAGGTCAAATAAGGCAACACTCATGTTTCAGCTCTCATCCTGTAAACAAGCATCCTTTCCACCACCTATTTAGTGCCATGTTTTTCACATTTTTGAGCTTTTTGTTGATTTCCTTGTTTAAAATGCTCCCTAGCACTGAAGTGCTTGCCTAGTGTCCCCAAGCACAGAAGGCTGTGATGTGCCTCAGAGAAAACATGTCCTTGATAAGCTTCGCTAAGGCATGAATTACAGTATCCATGGCCATGAGTTCAATGTCAATGAATTGACAATATATATTAACTAAGGTGTTTTTAAACAGAAACACACATTTAAAAAGGTTATTAACTGATCAATTGACAAAAACGTTGGGTCTAGATGCTCACAGAAACTAAACTCTATATTTCTCCTAGGAGCTATGGTTCAGTACTTGCTAATTCAGTGTCTGCCATGACTATGGAACAGAAGCACCATGAAAAATAAGAATTGGTTGCATATGTGTGTGTATGTGTGTATAGGAAGGATGGGTGCATGTGTGTGTATCTGTGGGTCTACTGGTGTATTCCTAAATGATCTCCTGAACTTTCCTAAGAAATCAAAAAAGTGATGACTTCTGGGAGGAGAATTTGTGTCCTACAAAGTGATGAGAGGGAAACTTTTCACTATATATGCTTTTGTATCAATTTTAAACCAAGTCAATATATTTCCTATTAAAATATGACTATGGAATTAAAACAAAATGAAGAACTTTTGCCTGCCTTCCACGCACACCACCACAGACTCTCACGTGTCCCCGACTCGACTGTACTGCAGTGAGGAGGAAAAGGGGCGGTGTCCATTACGCGCACATCACTCATCTGTCTGTCAGGGCTGTTTACGAGGTAATAGGAAGGGAGGGTTTCATGGCAGTATGGGCCACAGTGGGGCTGAGCTGCCAGTCATGACTCACACCCTGGCCAGCTCGCTGGCTCACCTGTGTGCTCTCGTCATGGAAGCCCTCGAGGAAGCTCTCCAGCAGCTCATCTGCGTTGTCGATCCGTTCCGCGTACTCGCCCACAATCCAGATCATGGCAGCCCGGGCCTCAGGCTCATCCAGGGAGTCCAGATTCTCACACAGTGTGGCAATCACACTCTCATACCTGGGAGACCAGGGCACAGTTGGTATGGGAGCCCTCAAGGAGAACGGGAAACCCAGGGAAGCCAGACAGGGGCCAGGAGGGAAGGGGACCTGCCTCCTAAGACCCCAAGGTGGCAGGTAAAGGGGATCTGAGTTTTGTTTTTTTTTTTGAGATGGAGTTTCACTCTGTTGCCCAGGCTGGTGTGCAGTGGTGTGATCTCACCTCACTGCAACCTCCACCTCCCTGGTTCAAGCAATGCCCCTGCCTCAGCCTCCCAAGTAGCTGGGATTACAGGGACATGCCACCACATCCAGCTAATTTTTTTGTATTTTTAGTAGAAACATGGTTTCACTATGTTGGCTAGACTAGTCTTGAACTCCTGATCTCAGGCAATCCACCCGCCTCGGCCTCCCAAAGTGCTGGGATTACAGGCAAGAGCCACCACACCTGGCCTGGGGATCTGAGTTTCATCTGTCACACGTTAGCCCTTATTTTGGCCTGGGGAGTAGAGGAGGGGCAGTGTGGACGAAATAAAAAACAAAGGGTTTCTTTTGAGAATGACGCTTGTGGCCAAGAAGTAAGGAAGAGGAGATTCCTCCTTCCTTTTCTGCCCCGCCATCCCTGTCCCCAGGCAGAGCTAGATGCCCTCTCCCTAGGAGGGCGGGCACGCACTTGTTGGGGTACTTGCGGAAGATGTCCTTGATGACCACGATGGCCTCCTGGACCACATAGTTGACCTTGGTCTGGATGAGGTCGAGCAGCGTGCTCACACAGCGCTCCGCAGATTGCTGCATGGGAAGAGAAGAGTGTGGGCGAGGTCCCCGCACCCCATTTCCAGTAGAGCCTCTGATGTCCACGCCTCGGCCAAGGGCTGCAAATCACTTCTGGCACACCTTCCTCATCACAGTGGGAAAACAGGAGAACCCTCTCCCCAGGTAACAGGAGAGAACCAGTACCAAATCATGGCCCTAGGATGGTGGGGACATGGGGAATGAGACTGAGGAGAAGCCAGAGGAAGAGTTCCTGAGAGCCAGGAGGGTCCTTGGAGCTCCTCTAAGTCAGGACCTGAGGGCAAGGTGACTACGCTGCAGTCCAACCCCACCTCTCTTTTTACTTGTTTCAGAAAGGGGGCTCCTATGTCCAAAAACACTCACAGAACCTCTGACTGCTTCTGCCTTTACTTCCACACACTGCTCTCACGGCCTGCTCTGAAGGAGATTTCTCAGGACGGCATCATAGGCTCCAGGGTGAGCACGCCTCAAGGGGATAGGTCGGGGGCGACCACCTATCCTAGGACACTGTAGCCACCAGTGGACCCATTTAAGGAGAATCTGGCTTAGTGGTCGAGGAACATCTCCACAGACAGAGAAAGGACGGGGATAAAATGCCAGGACACAGGAGTCTAGAGTGGCCCTGGGACGCTGGGACACAGAGGCACGTGGGCAGCTGAATGATGACAATATTTGCCAAGAAGTGTTCAACAGGCAGGGCCCTTACCCCAGAGCTCTGTGAAGTGAATGCTAAGTCCATTAACTTGTGGCTGCCCCAGCATCTTAACAAATGCTGCAGGAGAACCATGATTATGATGGGTTAATTTGATCGGCAGCAACTCGAAGGCCTAAAGGATACTATAGAGTGAGAAGGAACCCCACCAGATCTGCACAATGCTTGCCATGGGGGCTCCAGTGATGAGCCTCAGGCCTTCCCAGACCACAAGCAAGCTGGCAGATTCTGCTTGAATCAGACTGGTTTCCCGGTTTCAGCCCCCTTTTCCTTCTCCAGCCAAGGACAGAGTCCCAGAGCCTCACCTCCACCTTGATGGCGCAGCGGCCAATAGCACGCACAGCCTTCCGTACAAAGTCCACATCCACTTCTGTTGCGTACTCTTTCAGCTCTGCCAACACCTGTGGCCCAAACAGAAAAGATGGGGCTGGGGCACCTGATGGGGCAATCTGCTGGAACACTCCTGGGCAGTGAATATACACAGACTCCCTAGGAGAATGGGATTCTGCCTCCTGCTCCAGGTAGAAGGCCCAAGGGAGAGAGCTGGCAGGTGCCTGAAAAGGAAAGAAGGCCTGGACAACCTTGTTTGGGGTTGATTTAGCTAACATATCCAACACCACGTTGTAAGGGATGACAGGTGATAACATGGAGAAACATTCTTTAGTAATAAAAACATCAGTTCTTTTACTTGCTTACGAAGCCCCATGTCCCATGCTAAACACTCTTCATGAGATAAACCGTTAATGGTGAGACTGGTCACCTGGGCCAGAGCCTACAGTCTGGTGGTGGTGGAATGGTCCCACACTGAGCCCGTGTCCTGACCATCACACGCAGCTGACCTGGGCGATGTTGGCCTGAGAGGCCAGGCGGATCATGATGTCCAGCTTCTCCAGCTTCACGTAGATAGGGTCGTTGTACTTCACGAAGAACACCTTCATCTCATGCTTCAGGATCTCAGGCCTGGTGGTGGGGCAGGATGCCCGGAGAGCAAAAAACAAGGCTTAAGCCCTGTGAGAAAATGCCCTCCACATTTGCTGGGACATTTCTGGGGTCTGAGGTGGAGCCTGATGTCTGTGAAGGCAGAGTCACTGCCATGGCTGCAAGCTCCTGGGTAGAGGGCCCAGCAACCGGCCTGAGCAAGGCTGTGACTGCTCCTGTGTGCCTGAGCACGTCGCCGGAAGGGAGACGGAGGGCAGTGAGAGACGGCTCACTCACTCTCCAGAGGCAGCAGGCCCCATGGGACGGGCTTGGGAATCAGACATATCTCAGTCCCAGTCCCAGCCTGTGACCTCAGGCCTGTTTCCTCACCCATGAAATGGGAATGACGCTGTACAGAAACATGTTACTACTGCAGGTCTGGGACTGCTAGCCTCAGAAGGCCTGGCACGTGGCAACTTGGATTTTGAAGTGTTCTCACTGTTCCCTAAATGATAAAGGTATTTAACTGTACCTAGACCATTTGTACAAAGAATACAGTTTATGCTGAACACATGCTTCCCTACTGGGAATATGGAATTTGTGTAGGTGCCCCCAATAACAAACTTGGGTGCCGAAGTCTCAAATAGGCTTTCCTGGGCAGAAACATTACATACATGTTGCTGCATTTTGTTGGGGGAGGAGTGTGCTCTGTATGACTCCCCATGGGAAGGAGGAGGTACAAGGAAGCCTCTCATGGAACCCTCCAGACTCCACCTGTGTCCTTCTCCCCTATGACCCAGCCGGGCAGCCCTGCTCTGCTGCTGATAGATCTTTGCTGTGGGTATAGCTATATGCTGAGTCCTGGCTGGGCACAGCAGCTCATGCCTGTCATCCCAACACTTTGGGAGGCTGGGGCAGGAGGATTGCTTGAGTCCAGGAGTTCAAGACGAGCCTCGGCAACAGAGTGAGACCCTGTCTCAAAAAATATATATATTTAAAAAATATATGCTGAGTCCTGTGAGTACTGCTAGTGAAACCTGAGCATGAGGGTGGTCTTGGGACCCCAACATGGACACCGACCTAATCGGCCTGCTGTGAGAGTGAGACGAGAAGCATCCAGCATGATCGATGCCTGCCTCAGAGAAGGCACCGCTAGGCAGGAGCTGTCACTAGCTGAGCCCTTTCACATGTGTCATTGTTCCTCCCTCAAAGGCAACATCCTTCTGCCTTCCGCGAGTATCACCCACCACATTTTTCCTGAACAAGGAAACTTCAGAGAGGGTGAGAGGCTGGTACTAGGTCACATGGCTAATGTCAGTAAAGACGAGAGTGGGGCGAGAATCCTCTGCCTCTGACTCCTACTCCTATGCCCTTCCAGAACAGAGAGGAGGAAGGAAAAGATACGAGGACAGATGGTGAGGAAGGGAGAAGACAGGACAGAGAGAAAGGAGAAAACTGGGTACTCTGTGCTGCTGTGCACACTGCGGGGAGGTCCTGGCCAAGCAAGGAGCCTTTGTCGTGCCCCATGGGAGAGGCAAGACCCCGAGCTGGGTAGCAGGAAGATATTTCTGCGATTAGGACTTGGCAAAAGCTGCCCAGCCACATCTCAGGACCAGGGCAGGGCATGTCTCAGTGACGTGGACAAATTCTTAAGAGATTTACTATGTTAAATATAGCACAGGGAATCCTGCACGCTGATCTGCTCTACTAGTCACTACGCCGCATTAAATCCGTGACCCAAGGGCACTGGCGTATAAAGACCCACACTGCAACCAGGAAGCCCTAGTTTCATCCCTTGGTTTAGGAACTCAGAAGGCTTTCCCATATTTACCTCCCTAATAACCCAATTCGACCAATATCTCTGGGTCCCCCGGGAGAGTACTAAGACCCAGACTGAAGCTACAACCAGGAGGATGTGCTGTCTTCCAAGAGAAAATGACTAATGAGGCCCCAGTTCTCTGTGTAGCCCCACTCCCAGCCACAGGGCCTGCTGTAACATACGAATGATCAATGGTTGCTACTGTCAAGTCCCCACGAATGATCAATGGTTGCTACTGTCAAGTCCCCACTGCTGACTGAGCCATTTGACCAAAAGCTGTGAGGAGAACTCAAGGTCAATCCCCCTCCCCAGAGCTGCAGGGCTCTGCCACTCAGAGCCACTTCAGAGGAAGAAGGGGATCATGCCATGAACCCCTCCGATCCAGCACTGCTCAATGGTTTTTCTGCTCTCGCCTACCCCCCACTACCATACCACGTGCCCTGGGAGCAGCAGCTCACTGCTCAGCCATTCTCATGGGAGGGAAGTGGGCGGCACAGCATTTGGAGTGAGTCCGATGTACCTCTCCCCCAGACCTCAAGGTTCCAACCTCAGAGAGTTTGACTAGAGCTACGGACTCTGTCCCCCGAAGAAATGTACACAGATACACAAAATCTGACAGCCCATTTCAGGACAGCTCGTGGACTATGAAGACAATATCTAGTTTAATCACCAAGCTAGTCTTTACATAGCCTGCTTCCTAGTTAGGTTAAGCCAGGGCTTCTCAACCTCAGCACTGCTGACATTTCGGGCTGGACAGTTACTGTGAGGGGCTATTCTGTGCACTGTAGGATGCTGACCAGCACTCCTAGCCTCTGCCCACTAGAAGCCGGTAGCATGCCCCCCTCAGCTGTGAAAACCAAAGTATCTCCAGACACCACCAAATATCCCTCAGGGGGGCAAAGCTGCCACTTTGGTTAAGCTATTCTGGGTTAAGCTATTTGAGACTTCCTGCATGGTGACAGGTCAGTTTCCTTTGAGAGCCCCCATTCCCAGCAGAAGAGGCTCCCCGAGGGGTACGCATGGACGTGCGTGTGGTGACCTCAGTACCTTTTCTGCACGATGAGATTGATGTTGCGCAGGGCCACATACTGCAGCTCTGGCTCGGCTGACAGCAGTGTGACCAGGGGTGGGGCCAGCTTCTTGAGCAGTGTGCCGTAGTAGTCCAAGTCCTTAGACAACATCTCCATGAACTTCATCAGCACCTTCACAGCAGAGAGCACCACAGCGGAGTTGGCATGGGAGAGCCTGGGGGTGACCCGCTCACAGATGCTGGGGTCCGTCCATTCCAACGGGGCAAACAGGAAAGACAAGGGGAAACATTCTGTTTTTAGTTACCAAAATAGCATGTCCAGGCCAGGCGTGATAGTTCACGCCTGTAATCCCAGCACTTTGGGAGGCCGAGGTGGGTGGATCACTTGAGGTCAGGAGTTTGAGACAAGCCTGGCCAACATGGTAAAACTTTGTCTCTACCAAAAAATATAAAAATTAGCTGGGCATGGTGGTAAGCACCTGTAGTCCCAGGTACTCAGGAGGCTGAGACATGAGAATCGCTTGAACCCAGGAGGTGGAGGTTACAGTGAGCCGAGATCGCGCCATTGCACTCCAGCCTGGGCAACAGAGTGAGACCCTGTCTCGAAAAAAAAAAAAATAGCATGTTCAGCCTGGGCAAAATCATGAGACCCTTCTCTACTAAAAATAATTTTACACATTAGCTGAGTATGGTGGTGCATGCCTGTAGTCCCAGCTACTTGGGAGGCTGACGCAGGAGGACTGCTTTGAGCCCAGGAGTTTGAGGCTGCAGTGAGCTGAGACTGTGACACTGCACTCTGGCCTGGGCAACAGAGCGAGACCCTGTCATAAACAAACAAACAAACAAACATGTTTTTTGTAGGAGAAAGATCTAAATCTTGGTTCTGCTGCTTGATAACCCCTAGCAGGTTCAAATCACTCTGAGCCTCAGTTTCTTCATTTATAGAATCAAGATGATGATGCCTACTTCACAGGGTTGCTAGGGGCTTAACTGACACAACGCATGTAAAGAACAAGGCTGGGTGAGGCTGAGATGGGTGGATTGCTTGATCCCAGGAGTTTGAGACCAGTCTGGGCAACATGGAGAAAACCTGTCTCTATACAAAATATAAAAATTAGCTGCTCATGTTGGCATGCAGATGTCTGTAGTCCCAGCTACCTGGGAGAATTGATTGAGCCCTGCAGGTTGGGGCTGCAGCTCCAGCCTGCAGAACAGAGACCCTGCCAAAAAAAAAAAAAAAAAGAACAAGCACAGTACTGGCATGTAGTACATACTGTATAGATGGCAACTCCTCACTTCCTCCGACTTGGAGGGTATCTTGTTGGTTAAGACCATGAGTCAGGTGAGCCCCAGCCAGGGGACCTGCACTATTCCCTCCACCTCTCTAAGCTGGAGCTCCCTCATCTGGAAAGTGGGGGATGATGATAAAAGTTGCATTAAAGACTCTAAAGTGTGGAAAGCACCCGGCAGAGCCCCAGACACCCAGTGAGAATTCAATGAGCAGTGGCTCTGGCGCTACCCACCTATTGAACTCAAAAGAGGTGCCCTGGGCTTCTGCCAGCTCCAAGGCCAGGCCATGCGTATGCCCATAGCTGCCCAAGGCAACTCTCCTGTCTACCTGGCTCTGGAGAGGTGGGAAGCAGGCAGGCCTCCCTTTAGGTGTGTCTGAGGGTGGGTTATGGGGCAAAGCACTAGAAAGGGGCCCACTAAGGCCCAAGGCCCAGTGCCTGGTTGGAGCCCCTGAGGACCAGGGTCCTCAAGCTGGGCTGGCAAGCAACGGGCAGCCCGCTCACCTCTGGGCCTCGCGGTCGTCCTTGGGCATATAGTTGGCGAGGCAGTCCAGGATGAAGATCTGGCCCCACTCGGTGCACTCATTGAGGGCTGTCAGCAGCTTGTTGATGGACTGTGGGTTCAGATCGAGCAGGTTGCTGCTGGGGTGAGACTCGGCAATTTCTGAGAGCGCTGCCACTGCATTGGCCACCACCTGGTTGAGAGGGTGGGAGGGGCAGAGGCTGGGGGTGCTGCTCACAGGCCAGGGGGCAGTGCATTAATGATGCTGGCTGGTCAGAGGTCAAATATCCTGAAAGGAATATGACCCAATGGGCAGGGTCTGGAGCTGCAACGAGACCCACTCCAAGCACTCACCCTGCTGACTCCTCTGCAAACTGGAACAAAACAAGTGTGCCTGCCATTTAGAAAAACAAGAAAGACCTAGCTCCAAGGGCTTAGCCACAGAAAGCATTCTCAGCTTCCTAACACAGCAGCGCCTGTCTACCAGCAACAGCACCTCACTTCAATGCTTGTCAGCTGTGCTTCTCAGAGCTAGGGGATTCCTGCAGAGCTCCTCGAGGCTACTGGGAGTGGATGGGGGCTTGCCAGGTGAAGCTCCAGGCCCTCAATCCATTTCCACTAGGAAGGTGTTTTTTTTTGTTTTTTGTTTTTTTTTTTTGAGATGGAGTTGTGCTCTGTCGCCCAGGTTGCAGTGCAGTGGTGTGATCTCAGCTCACTGCAACCTCCACCTCTTGGGTTCAAGTGATTCTCATGCCTCAGCCTCCCGAGTAGCTGGGACTGATTACAGGCATGCACCACCACACTCAGCTGATTTTTGTATTTTTAGTAGAGATGGGGTTTCGCCATGTTGGCCAGGCTAGTCTCAGACTCCTGACCTCAGGTGATCCTCCCACCTCAACCTCCCAAAGTGCTAGGATTATAGGCGTGAGCCACTGCACATAGCTTGTTTTTGTTGTTTTTGAGATTGAGTCTCACTGTGTTGCCCAGTCTGGAGTGTAGTGGTGCAATCTTGGCTTACTGCAACCTCTGCCTCCTGGGCTCAAGCAATCCTCCTGCCTCAGCCTCCCAGGTAGCTGAGATTACAGGCACGCACCACCATGCCCAGCTAATTTTTATATTTTTAGTAGAGACAGGGTTTCACTATGTTGGCCAGGCTGGTCTTGAATTCCTGACCTCAGGTGATCCACCCGCCTCAGCCTCCCAAATAGCTGGGATTACAGGCATGTAATCCTGTATGAGCCACTGCGCGCGGCCTCAGGCAGCTGTTTTTTTTTTTTTTTTTGAGACGGAGTCTAGCTCTGTCGCCAGGCTGGAGTACAGTGACGCAGTCTTAGCTCACTGCAACCTCCGACTTCCTGGGTACAAGTGATTCTCCTGCTTCAGCCTCCTGAGTAGCTGGGATTACAGGCACATGCCACCACACCCGGCTAATTTTTGTATTTTGAGTAGAGATGGGGTTTCACCATGTTGGCCAGGATGGTCTCAATCTCCTGACCTCGTAATCCACCCACCTCAGCCTCCCAAAGTGCTGGGATTACAGGCGTGAGCCACTGCACCCGGCCCAGGCAGCTGTTTTTAAGGGTGTTCTGCATTGTTTCCAACTTTTCTCTGTGAACCATCCAGTGCTCCAGTACCCATCCCTGTACTGGCCGCTCAGTACTGTGTATGGCAGTTGCTCAGTGTTTCTGCTCAGAGTGGGGAATGGCTGGGTTTGTGCATTCATTTTAAACAGGCCCTGCCAAACTGCCCTCCAAACTGCTGCCACCATTGTGGGTAAGGGGACTGTGGGGTTCCACATCCAGCTACATCCTGATGTCCTGTCTTCCAGGCTATGCTACTTCAAGGGTGACCCTCTACAACCCAACAAAGATGGGGGAAGGGAAAAGCACCACACATGCAGCATATTGGCTTGGTGAGAAGACAGCAACAATAACAGTGACTAGAAGGGGAAGGAGGGCACTAGTATTGATGGTGCACCGTTACCAGGCCATCCCAGGCACGTCACCTTCACAGCACTCCTGCCAGCCACGTAGAATGAGATCCATCTCACTGATGAAGAAAAGAGAGCCTAGGCAGCTTGCCCCAGGTTGCGCAGCTAGTCAGAGGGTGAGGAGAAGGGAATCTAGGTCTAGCTCCCTCCAGAGAGGGTGCCTGAACCACCAAAAGGCACAAGAACAACTGGCACCCCCAGCCAGGCTCCGACTTCTAGGTACTCAGGACTGCCTGGTGAAGAGTCAAGCCAATGTCTTCCCAAGCAACCCAGGAGGTGGTGGAGGTAGCACGGTGGGTGGCAGTGGCTTACCATGGGGTTAGAGTCGGAGATGAGGTCTTTAAGGGTGTCCAGGAAGCCCTGGTCCTCCACCAGCTGGGCGTTGATGTCGTGGAGCTTGGCCACGCACACAGCTGCTGTCTTGCGCACATATGGATCCTCGTCCTTCAGGCACTTCCGGAGTGGCTCGCACAGGTACTCTGTGATCTTGTCAACGCGGATGCAGCCCATGGTCCGCACTGCCAGGGCTCGGATGAGGGGGTTGGGGTCCTCACAGTCCTGGGGGGAACCAGCCATCGGCCAGGGCAGGGGTGGGATGAGCCATCTGTGGCTTCATATTCTCCCTGGCCTGCAGCTCTGAGCCCTGCTAGGCTGAGCGACATCAGATGGCTGCTGTGGATCTTCACCAACTACAGCCAACAACAGCAAAAGTAAATGCTATATAACCAGCACCCATGCCAGCTCTGCACACCATCTCCTCTGATCCTCACAGTAGAAATACAATACGGGTCCCATTTTATAGATGATGAAACTGAGGCTCTCAGAAAGGCTAGGAGCTCATCTGAAGCCACAGAGCAGAGCCGTGATTCAAACCCACATCCACCTAGCATCACAGCCCTCGGTCTTTCCACTGGGCCACAGAAGCCTCATTTCCCCATATCCGAGCACGGACAGGACTCAGGGGAGCTAAGGTTCTAAAGGTATACAAATTCAGAGGTACTGAACATTAGGAGAAAATAAAATTAAAATATAGGTGCACAGAGCTGACAATTTAATCTGAAGGACAGAAAATGGAGAAAGCAGCAGTCTGTAAGGGCAACAGAGAAGCTCTCGGGCACCTGCTGATTCCTGCCCTAGCAAAGCATGCAGGGCAGGGTCCAATCAGGGCAGTGAGGGGATCAACAGGCCTGGCAGGACCTCACACAGGATGAGTTACGCAGGGTCCTTAGCATCTGATTTTCTGGAGAGTGGGAGCCCTCTGCTGGAGGAAGAGGCCTGCAGGCTGGGCGGGCGCGGGCAGTCTGAAGGTCTGGACTCCATCCAGTGCCACAGGGCCCCGCCCCAAAGAGACTGAGGGGAGACAGAGCCTTAAGCACCCAATGTCCCCACGCCCACCAAGCGTCTGCTCACCTTCACAAAGGTGTTGACGGCCATAATGGCCATGTCAGGCTGACTCTTGGCGTAATTCATCAAGTAGAGGTATACTAGCTTCTTCAGCTCCAGGTTGTCCGTCTGCATGCAGTTGACCACATCGGGGAAGAGGGCACTGGAAGGTCAAAATGGTGTCAGCATGGGAAAGGCTGAACAAAGGAAGAGGAAGATTTTCAGGCTGCTAACTAGTGGGTGAGAGGACAGTGGGTAGGAGAGAAAGGAGAGACACACTGGACTTCCTGGTAAAAGGGAGGGTTTCAGGTCTGCTGTTAACAATCAACACCTATTGATAGAAAGGGAATCCCAAAGGGTAATTTTAAAAGCAGGAAAGTCCTTGATTCTTTTCATATAGTTCAAACATGAGTTCTGGAGCCCATCAAACCCACCACTGCCTCTTGCTAGCTATATGACATTGGAGAAATTCCTTTGTCACCTGCCCCCTCGCCCTGAGTCTCAATTTTCTAACTTCCAAGAAAGACGCAACAGAAACTCACTTCACAGGGCCTTTATGATAACTGAATGAGACAACATACTTAGGTATCTGGTCCTTGATATCTGGGAGATGCTGAGTAAATGAAAATGATCCTTTCTCCCTCTCTGATACTTAATGTGGCCCCTTACATTGGGCTGCTGGTTCTGGAGGGTCGCAGGGAAGCAGGATGGCTCATGCTGCTTTCTCCACAAGCTCTGGCACCCGGTAAGAACCAGCACAGCATGCATGGAGCACACACCATACACCAGGCTTGGTGCTAAGAGCTTTACATGCTTGATCTCATTTAACTGCCCTCAGAAGTCAGGGGATGATCCCCATTTCAGAGAACACTGAGGTTCATAAATGTCAAATAACCTGCCTGGAGGAATCAGGTCTGAGAACAAGGTCCGTGCTCATGACCACTGGGTGGAACCCTTCTCAACATGGTACCCGTGGTCCCAGAGTCACAGGCCTTCTTAAGATGTGAAATTTGGTTAGAGATCAATTTTCTATCTCTGAAATCATCATATCCCCTCTCAATTCTTATGTGTTTATAGGAAAGGACGTGTCAACATAGAGACTTAGGAGGTCAAAGTGAACTTCCTGATCCCCAACAGGCAGGAGTCCTGCCAAAGCCAAAATTTATGTGTCACCTTGGAAGATGATGCACCAGGAAGAATGGGGAGGAGGGAGGAGGAAAAACTGCTGATGAGGCCGACTCGCTCTTTGGGGCTTATCATATCAGCAAAGCCAGCTCTTTTGAGATGGAAGAACAAAGATGTTTCTCCTCTGTGAGGAGGTGACAGTGGTGTGCTGGGTGAAGGAGAGCAGCTTTGTCCTGGAAGGAATCTGACTTGGAAGGAGGCCCAGTTGTCCAGCAGGTACCTGTTTCCTTTCTGCTCTGGCTTCCAAAGGGCTCTCTGCAGAGCCCCTTCCCGGAGCTGCTGGCAGGAGGTCCTTTGCTTGGGGGGCGATCCATGGGGACGTCTGGAGCAGTGGGAGCCTATCTTGGGACCTGGATGGGAGCTGCTCCACCTCAGCACCCGGGTTATGAGGCACAGGGCTGGGCACCACGAGGGCATGGGTGAAAGTGGCCTGGATTTGGATTTCAGAAGAACTGGGCTTGAGTCCTAGTTCTGCCATAAACCATGTGACTCTTAGGCAGTCACTTTATGTTTTTATTTCTTTGGCAGTAAAACTGTCATTACCTACAATATGGGAATTGTAAGGAACTACTGAGAAAACAAATCTCAAAATGTTCTGTGCAGACTCTCAAATACTGTGCAAATATCAAGCTGTTTTAAAATCCAGTCTCTGCCTTTGAGATTTTACAATCTGGTGAGCAGGTAAACACAAGTACACATAACAAGAGAACAGTTTCCATTTAGTGCTGGGTGATGGGAACAGACAGCAAATGCTTTGAGTTTGAGGTAGTGGGCTGGGGTGATCAGGGAAGGAAACACAGGGAAGGCAGACCTTGAATGTTTTTTTTTTTTGAGATGGAGTCTTGCTCTGTTGCCCAGGCTGGAGTGCAGTGGCGTGATCTTGGCTCACTGCAGCCTCTGCCTCCCAGGTTCCAGCAATTCTCTGCCTCAGCCTCCCAAGTAGCTGGGATTACAGGTGCCCACCACCACGCTTGGCTAATTTTTGTATTTTTAGTAGAGACGGGGTTTCACCATGTTGGCCAGGCTGGTCTTGAACTCCTGACCTCGTGATCCACCCGCCTCGGCCTCCCAAAGTGCTAGGATTACAGGTGTGAGCCACCACATCCGGCCTCGAATGGGTTTTTAAAGATGGGAAGACAAGCTGGGTCACTGGGCGCTCCCACAGGGGAAGCATGAGCCAAGGTGCGGCAGCCGCTCTACACACAACCGGCTTTAGCCATCAGGTGCGACAGAGGCTGCACACCGGTGACAAATTAGAGAAATCCAATCTGCACGTGTGTTTTACTTGCACCACACAGTGTTTGTTTAATATCATCTGGCCACTTAAGACAGGGAGATTTAAAATGAAAAATCCAGATTTCCCATTCTTCTTTTTTTTTTTTTGAGACTGAGTCTCGCTCTGTCACCTGGGCTGGACTGCAGTGGCACAATCTCAGCTGAATGCACCCTGTGTCTCCCAGGTTCAAGCAATTCTCCTGCCTCAGCCTCCCGAGTAGCTGAGACTACAGGCATGCGCCACCATGCCCGGCTACTTTTTGTATTTTTAGTAGAGACAGGATATCACCATATTGGCCAGGCTGGTGTCGAACTCCTGACCTCGAGATCCGCCCGCCTGGGCCTCCCCAAGTGCTAGGATTACAGGCGTGAGCCACCGCGCCTGGCCCAGATTTCCCATTCTTTTAAAAACCAGAAGACCTGGCCACACTGGGTCCTCTTCCCCAGCCAGTACTGATCCTCTGGAGTTTCTGAGAGGGTTCATGCCACACCCACTCCATTGCCTGCTGCCTTTCCCACCTACTCCAGTTAACTCACTCCATAACCACCTGACCTGTCAGTGTCTGGGCTCATGATTCCTGTGTAAACAAAACCTTCTATTGGGAAGAAAGTTTTATGAAGGGAGCTGTATGAGGGGAGACATGGGTCCCTAGACACCCTAAAGGAGAGACTGAAGTGGACCCAAGCTATAAACCCTCCCCTGTCAGCCAGCTTCTAGCTGCCACCAGGCCTACTCCTGCACACCTGACATCTTTGCCCACGGTCATCGATGCAATCACTTTCTTCACTGCCTCCTTCTTCTTCTCCTTCTTGTCACTGTTGAGCTCTGCCTTCAGCTCGAAGATCTCCCCTAAGGAAAGGAGGCAAGCATGAGTGATCCCTCCCTACCCTGGCAGGGGACAATTCCCAGTATCTAACTTCCAAAAGAACCGGAGGGAGGCACGTAAGACATCCTATGCTGTTGGCTGAGGGAAGCTTCAGGCGCCTGGCCTCAGGTGGGCCAGGCAACAGTGAGGGATGACTGTTAGGACAGGAATTAACAAGATGGAAACTTGTAGGCCGGGTGCAGTCGCTCATACCTGTAATCCCAGCACTTTAAAATGCTGAGGATTGGCCAGCACAGTGGCTCATGCCTGTAATCCCAGCACTTTGGGAGTCCGAGGCAGGCGGATCACGAGGTCAGAAGATCAAGACCATCCTGGCCAACATAGTGAAACCTTGTCTCTATTAAAATACAAAAAATTAGCCGGGCATAGTGGCGCGTGCCTGTAATCCCAGCTACTCGGGAGGCTGAGGCAGGGGAATTGCTTGAATCCGGGAGGTGGAGGTTGCAGTGAGGCAAGATGGCGCCACTGCACTCCAGCCTGGCGACAGGGCCAAGACTCCATCTCAAAAAAAAAAAAAGAGGCTGAGGATTACTTGAGCTCAGGAGTTTGAGATCAGCCTGGGTAACATAGTGAGACCTCGTTTCTACAAAATAATTTTTTTTAATTAGCCGGGTGTGGTGGCATGTGCCTGCCGTGCCAGCTACTCTGGAGGCTGAGGCTGAAGAATCGTTTGAGCCCAGAGATCGAGGTTGCCGTGAGCCATGACACCACTACACTCCAGCCTGGGGGACACAAAGTGAGATCCTGTCTCCAAAAAAAAAAAGTTTAGAGGCCACTCTGGATTGAAGCAACAGGAACCATGGAAGCTACAAAGGTTCTGAGGAAGACAAAAGCATCAAAAACATGATGGCAGGCTCTGCTCAGCCAGGGAGCTAAAACCCCAGTGGAAGGCAAAGCTGTCCTCAGCTACCCTCACTCAACAAAAGACCCTTAAAAGGCTCAGTGCAATAGAACCTGAGTACTTAAGGCTTGCGGGGTGAGAGCAGGATTTGTGGATTCCCACATGAAGGCCTTTCCTGTTTTCCTCAAACCTCTAATTAAAACAGCTTGTTCAGGGTTTCACTTCCTGAGACACAAGTGGTTGGTTGCTCAGCTCTGAAAACAGGAATTCAGCTGCTCCATGAGAGCTCAAGCATGAAATCAATTGTTCTGAAGAACTTCATGACATGAAAAAAACAAATGAGGAAGCAGGGTTGTCTGGCCCTGCCATGGACAGATAGTCAGGACCCTGATAACAGGTTAGGAGGGCAGATGTCATTTCCTGACCCCTTCTCTTTTATTTTTTATTTTTTTGAGACAGAGTCTTGCTCTGTCACCCATGCTGGAGTGCAGTGGCCCCATCTCAGCTCACTGCAACTTCTGCCTCCTGGGTTCCAGCAATTCTCCTGCCTCAGCATACCGGGTAGCTGGGACTACAGGCGTGCGCCATCACACCCAGCTAATTTTTGTATTTTTAGTACAGACGGGGTTTCACCATGTTGGTCAGGCTGGTCTTGAACTGATCTCGTGATCCGCCCGCCTTGGTCTCCCAAAGCACTGGGATTACAGGCATGAGCCACCACGCCCGGCCATTTTTTTTTTTTGAGACATAGTCTCACTCTGTCACCCAGGCTGGAGTGCAGCGGTGCGATCTCGGCTCACCGCAACTTCCGCCTCCCGGGTTCAAGCAATTCTGCTGCCTCAGCCTCCCAAATAGCTGGAACTATAGGCGGACACCATCAAACCCTCCTAATTTTTGTATTTTTAGTAGAGACGGGGTTTCACCATGTTGGCCCGGCTGGTCTCAAACTCCTGACCTCAGGTGATCCACCCGCCTCAGCCTCCCAAAGTGTTGAGACTACAGGCCTGAGCCACCATGCCCGGCCCCTCTAAGCCCTTCTCTAAGCCTAGTCCCATACTAACTTGTTCCCACACATTTTCTTATTTCATCCTCACAACTCTGCATTTCCCTCCGTTTTGCAAATGGAGGCTGTGAGAGGCTCAGTAACGTATAGCCAATGCTGGTAGGGGGCAGGGCTGAAACTGAAAACCAGGTCTGCTAGCTCCAAAGCCCATGCTCTCAATCCCTATGCTTGGGCCTACCCAAGATACCCACTTTGCTTTCCTAAACCTGTTTCCTTGTCTCTTTGGCTGGAGCATTGAACCCAGGCATGTCTGTCCACACATCTCTCTTCCCAAAAGAAATCCACTAAAAAACCCCAACCCCAAAATAAAAAAAATAGCTGGGCATGGTGGCACGTGCCTGTAGTCCCAGCTACTTGGGAGAATTGCTTGAACCCAGGAGGCTGCAGTGAGCAGAGATCTTCCCATTGCACTCCAGCCTGGGTGACAGAGACTCTGTCTCAAAAAAAAACAAACAAACAACAAAACCCACCCCTGGGACTCCAATACACTCAGCACTACGTTCACCCTGTGGCTCACCAGGCTCCACAAGACTGATCCCTGCGTACCTCTCCAATTGCTTTCTCTCTTTTTTCAATTAGTTGCCCAGGCTAGACTCGAACTCCTGGGCTCAAGCAAGTAATCCTCCCACCCAAGCCACCACCTGGGGCGCCACTGTGCCTGGCTCTAACCTCTTCTTGTATCACCCTCCTCGGTAGCTCATGCCCACTACCTTCCTTTCCCCAAATGTGTCACAGGCACAGCACTCACTCCTTCCCCTTCCTATCCCCCATCGATCTGGCCAGCTCCACCCAGAGCTCTCCCACAGTCCCCCCTGGACCCAGTACACTTCAGTGTGGTTACTACTCTACAGACTGTCTTCCCTGCTCAACCTTGAGCAACACCAGGTCAGAGGCTCTGTTTCTTTTCCACTGCACATGGTAGGTTCTCAGTAAAAACCAGCTAGACCAATACATGAAATGCCTGATGAGGGGCAGACTTCGGGTCCTGGATCAGCTGATCCAGCAACAGACTCTTTTCATCTGGTCGGCAGGCATGTGTCAGTATCACTTGGAAGGAAGGAGGGAGGAATAAAGGGCTGGCCAGAAAGATGCTTACAGGGTTAAAGCACATTTGTCAGCCACGACGACATCCTCCATTTCCTTAAAAGCAGAAACAACCAAAATACCCAATGATATAAGCCTAGCTTAGCAAATTTCAGTGTAGCTACTCAATAGACTTAATAGTGAGTCATTAGAATTGTTGGGAAATGTTTATGATATCAAAACATCAAATGAAAAACAGGATTAAAACGATGAAAATACATGCCTGACCGGCCGCGGTGGCTCACGCCTGTAATCCCAGCACTTTGGGAGGCTGAGGGGGCGGATCACCTGAGGTCAGGAGTTTCAGACCAGCCTGACCAACATGGAGAAACCCCGTCTCTACCAAAAATACAAAATTAGCCGGGCATGGTGGTGTAATCCCAGCTACTTGGGAGGCTGAGGCAGGAGTATCACTTAAACCTGGAAAGCGGAGGTTGTGGTGAGCTGAGATCAGCGCCATTGCACTCCAGCCTGGGCAACAAGAGCGAAACTCCGTCTCAAAAAAACAAGAAAGAAAAATTAGCTGGGCATAGCGGCGGGCGCATGTAATCCCAGCAATTCCGGAGGCTGAGGCAGGAGAATAACTTCAACTCGAGAGGCGGAGGTTGCAATGAGCCAAGATCGCACCACTGCACTCCAGCCTGGGTGACATGAGTGAAACTCCGTCTCAAAAAAAAAGAAAAACACGTGCCCTTGGATAAGGACACACACACACACACACACACACACACACACACACACACACACACACAACTGCTGTGGGGGTGTTGATAGGATTCTGTGTTTTCTTTCCCCTGGAAAAAAACATAATTATTTTAAGCCATGGGAAATAAAAGGGCACTTTTTTTCCCCACACTTGGAGCTAATGTTCTTCCCTTTCTGAGCTCTAAAAGGAGTGGTCAATTTCTTATATCATCAACAGTTCAATTTTCTAGATCTACCACAAGCTCTAGGCCATTCCTGCCACATGTTTCCAGGCCTTCATTCCCACCCCTACTCCCTACCGCCATAGGAGGAAAACAGAAGGGACAGGAAGAGAAAGCATAGGACAAGGCCCATTATTAAACAAGTAATACCTTTCTTGGTCGTGGTGAAATATTTTGAGTCAGTCATTTTGGTCCCTTATCTGTAGCCAGGCTTCTGCAAGAGAGAGAAGAGAGGGGTGACTTTCAGTTATGCTCCATCCCATCTTCAGTTATGGTGCAGAGGGAGGAGAAGGATCCAGAACACATGTGGTACAGGAAAACAGCTGCTTATCTATTTCCTGGAGAAACAAACTTTAGATCATGGCAGATTAGATTTTGAAAAGTAATTCTGAGGAATCTATCAACCTTTTTTTTTTTTTTTTCTTCAGAGATGGGATCTCACCATGTTGCCCAGGCTGGTCTCAAACTCCTGGGCTCAGCCAATCCTCCTGCCTCGGCCTCCCAAAGTGCTGGGATTACAGGTGTGAGCCACCACACCTGATCCCATCAAATTTTTGAATGTGCCTCTTCTAGAAATCTTTCCCACAAAAATATCTGCACAAGGATGGATGGGCTTACAGCAGCCCCTTTGTGGGACCCACTTTGCTCAGCACTGTCCTAAATGCTTGGCACACATTAACTCATTAGGAGCCTCATCACAGCATCATCAAGGCACGATATTACCCTATACAGTCAAATAAGATTAGAAAATACCAAGCTTAAAAGGCTAGGGAGACTTCTTCTCCCCACAACTTTTCTAAGCTGCTAAAATAGTAACATGCCTGATTCATCTCTGGAAAGGGCTAGAATCTGTACTCTACAGCAGTTCCCAAATCTACCTGGCCAGTTTTCTTAAAGGCTCTCTCAGGACATCTCCTAGCGCAAAGCTCACAGCGTGAAGTACTATTGTAGACAATAGGGGCTGGGCACCACAGCTCATGCCTGTAATCCCAGCACTTTGGGAGGCTGAGGCGGGTGGATCACCTGAGGTCAGGAGTTTGAAACCAGCCTGGCCAACATGGTAAAAACCATCTCTACTAAAAATACAAAAAATTAGCCAGGCGTGGTAGTGTGTGCCTGTAATCTCAGTTACTTGGGAGGGTGAGGCAGGAGAATCACTGGAACCCAAGAGACTGAGGCTGCAGTAAGCTGAGACCACACCACTGCACTCCAGCCTGGGAGACAGAGCAAGACTCTGTCTCAGAAAAAAAAAAGACAATAGGACAAAGAAAGTACTGAAGCTCTGCCATTCATTTAACAAAAATCATTTAACAAAAATTTACTGAGCATCTCCTATGTACCTCAGTAGTTCTTCTGGGCAACAGATGAAAGAAAAGAAGTTACACAGGAACCAAGATACCCTAGATACATTTATTAAGAATCTATCATTTACTGAGCCCCTATTAAAGGCAGGGGCTTCGCCCACATTATCTCACTTAATCTTGTCAATAATGTAACTGCTTTGAATCCCATTTTACAAATGATGAAACGGACTCAGCGATGTTACATGACGTGCCCAAGGTCAAATGGCTTGTAAGTGGCTGGGCTGGGAGACCATCTCAGGCCTACCTGAGCTTAGTTCCTATGCTCTATTGAAGGAATTCTGTTTCCCCCTTCTGACGAGGAGGACAGTTCCCTGATAGTGGCTAAAGGATTCAGTCAAAAAAAAAAAAAAAAATTGAGGCCGGACGCAGTGGTGCACACCTGTAGTCCCATCTACTTGGGAGGCTGAGTGGCACAAGAAGCACTTGAACCCAGGAGGCAGAAGTTGCAGTGAGCTGAGACTGTGCCACAGCACTCCAGTGTGGTGACAGAGCAAGACTCTGTCTCCCCGCCCCACCCCCGCAAAAAAAAAACACATTGAGACTTTCAAGTACAGCCTTCCAATCCTACCTGTAGTTTTATGTGGTATAGAAAACCACACAACTCCAAAAAACAGACATTTGAATGGAGAAAACCCACTTCACTTTATCTCTTTTGTTGCGTCTATGGAAGGGACTCAAACAAATAACCCACCAATATCTCCTTTCAAGTCATTACTATACGGGGGCAAGATGAAAGTTACTAGTGCAACGGATGTGAGGGATCAGGAGTCATTTCACAGCCTCTGGAAACCAAGCCAACACAGCACCTCCTCTCCAGCCCAATTGGATTTTTCCAAATTAAGCTTGTATTTATGGCAGGATGGCACTGAGCAAGCCTCCCAACCGAGAGACACCCATAGATTTTGTTTCAGTAATCACTGGGAAACAAATACGTACTGTCTTGGGGTCACCTTAAATCCTTTGTGGATCCTGAAGGAATAAAGGAATAAAGGCTTCACTGACAAAACAGTACAAAAAAAGGCACAATTCTACTTCCCTTTTGCTTTGCAAAGTTGAAAAGGAAGGATGGCACTTTTCTATGGGAGCTGCAGGAAAGAGCAGAAGAGCCCACTGCGTCTGATGTTGCAAGTCCCACAGTGGGGACTCTAAACTTGCTGGTCCTCCCAGCATGAGTCATGGCTGTAGACAGATCCACAAAGGAAGGCCCCGCATGCGCCAGGCTCACAGCTCCCGTTCGCCCTCCTCTTTCATGCCTGGCCCAGGCCCGGCACATAGCAAGTATTCAATTGATAGTTGTTGAAAGAAATGAAAAGGGGCCACTGAAAATCCCAGGGAGCCTCAGCCTGCTCTCTGGCAGCCCTGTTACGTAACTAGTTAGCATTTGTTTCCAACAGGAATTTACCGACATTAAAAACGATTTTTTTTTTTTTTTTTTTTTGCACACACATAAAGCCATTTTCTCAAAGAAACCTCACCAACCTAGGGGTTCTTTGGGGACCTCTGAAAATGGGCAGGTAAATCAGATAATGGGATTTCTGTCTTACAATAAAGATCTGCATGGTTCCAGAAGTCACAGACTTGAGAGTGTAACTGCCAAAAGTATCCAAAATAATAGGATAATATCATTTCTCAAGGTTGAGTGTAAGAGGGATAACTGAAGACAAAAGGGGCTAAAACTCACAGGCCACAAAGAAACACAGAAAGTAACACAGAAACCACTCCAACATTAAATCTAAAAAGAAACAAAAGTGGCCGGGCGTGGTGGCTCATGCCTGTAATCCTAGCACTTTGGGAGGCTGAGGTGGGCAGATTGCCTGAGCTCAGGAGTTTGAGACCAGCCTGGGCAACATAGTGAAACCCCGTCGCTACTAAAATACAAAAAATTAGCTGGGCGTGGTGGCATGTGCCTGTAGTCCCAGCTACTCGGGAGGCTGAGGCAAGAGAATTGCTTGAACTCAGGAGGTGGAGACTGCAGTGAGCTGAGATCGTGCCACTGCACTCCAGCCCGAGCGACAGAGTGAGACTCAGTCTCAAAAAAAAAAAAAAAAAGAAAGAAAGAAAGAAAGAAAAGTGAATAAAACAAACAAAATACCTTAGATAACTAATGTGAGAGCTGCTCGGAATTTCTTGCCTCTCCAGAAGAAAAAGCCGTCAGAGCCTGTCCCCTCCCCTGCAGGCCCAATACAACATCAGAGGGCCCTAAATTCCCAGGACGCAACCTGCTGGTGACAGATGGGTGCTGTATGCAACTGACCAAGAGGAGAAACGGGTGAGAAAGCCTTTCTTTCTGGGGATTTAAAAAAAAAGTGACAGAGCTGCAGGGTAGCTGGTCAAAGCACAGCTGCAGGGTAGCTGGTCAAAGCACAGCTGCAGATACCCCAACAGCGCTGAGCTTTCCGTGACAGTCTTCCTTTTACAGGTGCTAAGCAACTACTCACAAACTTAACTGCCACTCAGTGCACTGGTGCTGGCTGCAGCTTTTTTCCGCAGTATCTGTTTCACATATCCCTCTGCAGAGGGCCCAATGGGACTGATGATGCAGAAATGTATCCCTCTGAAGTTGTTTCATATGCAGGAAATTAAAGTAGAGAAGGGAGGAGATGCGGAGAAAAGTGAAACGCTTTAGAAAGCCACCCCAAAACACAGATAACAAAACAAAACAAAACACCTCACTTCACCATGAATGATTCCCTACCTACAGCTTAGTGATGTACTGAGGGCAGCTATCTCCTCGTGTCCTTTCTCCATTGTGAGCACCTAATGCTGGTACCTGGTCTTGCAGTTGCCTCTTGGATGGATATCAGTGCAAGAGATTTCTCATTCTCTCCGCAGGAATGGAAAAAACCCTACAGTTCAGTCCTAACGGGGCTCAGACTCATAGATGCCATGAGAAAGACTGGTGTTTTTCCTGGCACCTGCTTGGCTGTTATCATGCACTGTATCCCTACCCCATAGAGGCCAAAGGGGCTGAGACCTTGTTCTCTGATGAATCTGATCGGGTACACGAATCATATTTGAAAGCAGGCAGCGGCTGGGCGCGGTGGCTTATGCCTGTAATCCCAGCACTTTGGGAGGCTGAGGTGGGCAGATCACGAGGTCAGGAGATCGAGACCATCCTGGCTAACATGGTGAAACCCCATCTCTATGAAAAATAAAAAAAATTAGCCGGGTGTGGTGGCACGTGCCTGTAGTTCCAGTTACTCAGGAGGCTGAGGCAGGAGAAGCATGAACCCAGAGGCGGAGCTTGCAGTGAGCAGAGATCGCGCCACTGCACTCTAGCTTGGGCGACAGAGTGAGACTCCGTCTCAAAAAAAAAAAGCCAGCAAATTTAGGCAAGAAAAAGCTTAGGGTTTGGATTCCATCTTTGGAAGTGTCAGGGCAAATTTTTTAAAGTGGTTAATTACGGGGAATTTTTGATTCAGAAACTGCTCTGGCCAGTATAATGAGTCACTTTGCTAAGGAGACAGCATTCTGGGCTGGGATCCCCCCCTCAATTTCAGCATTTACAGGCCAAGAAATGCCTCAAGGGGATGGCATGGTCAAAATTAAAAGAGGGGCATACCTGGAACAACTGGTTTCACCCTTGAGGAGCCAGTGTGGCTGTCCTCTCTTAATCTTAATATTTCTCACACCCACATTTGAAAGATTATGACTTTGATGTCACATCCCAGAAACAGTTCTGGTTAACTTCATTTTTTAGAATTAAAGAAAGGGAACTGAGGCTGGGCATGGTGGCTCACGCCTGTAATCCGAGCAGTTTGGGAGGTCCAGGTGGGCAGATCACCTGAGGTCAGGAGTTCGAGACCAGCCTAGCCAACATGGTGAAACCCCATCTCTACTAAAAATACAAAAAATTAGCCGGGCATGCTGGCGGGTGCCTGTAGTCCCAGCTACTCGGGAGGCTGAGGTAGGGGAATCACTTGAACCCGGGAGGCAGAGGTTGCAGTGAGGTGAGATCGCAGCATTGCACTCCAGCCTGCGCAACAAGAACGAAACTGGGTCTCAAAAAAAAAAAAAAAAAGAAAAAAGAAAAGAAAAGGAACTGAGCAATAAAGCCTAAAATATAGTAGCTTTCTCTCTTATGTTTTCTAGATGTATAAAGAAGCCCTTGGTGAGACTTTTGGAAACAGTGTCCAGGGACAAAGATGTAACATGATCTAAGAGAGGGAAAAAGAGGTCCTAGGTCCTAAGGAAAAAAAAGGGAAGAAGAAAAAACATTTCCATCTAAAGACTTTGGTTTTTAGCTGCTGAAGTTAGGGTTAGGCTTAAAGGAAAAAAAGTTCTCAATATTTTTCAAATTTTGTCTTCATATATCTAAATATAATTTTAGGAACAAGAAATATAGACTATCTTTCTGTGTTTTAAGCTAATAAAATGAATTTATATCTATTTTTAAAACATAAGAAAATCACCTCCTTTGAGAATGAAAAAAATAAAAACATAAGAAAATGGGTACTAAGTATAGTATTTCAATTTTTCTCCAATGTCTCAAAATTGGTGACAACCTTTAAAAGGAAAGTATGCTGAACTGAGTCTACTTCATCTCCATAGTTCAATTTCCCTCTTTAAAATGGGGAGATCAAGCCGGGTGTTGTGGGTCACACCTGTGAATACCAGCACCTTGGGAGGCCAAGGCGGACAAATTGCTTGAGGCCAGGAGTTTGAGACTGGCTTGGGAAACATGGTGAAATCCTGTCTCTACCAAATTAGCATGGTGGTGCACACCTGTAGTCCCAGCTACTCAGGAGGCGGAGGTGGGAGGACTACTTGAGCCTGGGAGGCAGGAGGTTGCAGTGAGCCAACATCGCACTACTGCACTCCAGCCTGGGTGACAGAGTGAGACCGTGTCTCAAAAAAAGAAAAAAAGAGTGGGGGGTGGGGACTGCTGTACCTGCTCTTCTGTGTATTTCACATATTTCTTCTGACAAGGGCTAATGTGAGAATGAAAGCACGTTGACAAGAAAAAATGTAAACATCATAAATATCACAAGATTTCATGTGTACAAAGCTCTAAGAGGCAAACCTAAGCTACGGTGATAACAGTCAGGTCAGTGGATGCTTCTGGGTGGGAAGGACTGAAAGTGGGCATGAAGGGCCCCTGCAGTAAGGGAAATGATCTGCATCCTGATGCAGATACTGGACACACTGTACACTTAAGAGCCAAGCATGTCACTTGGTGTAAATTAAACAGACATTTTAAAAAATGTGCTGGGCGCAGAGGCCTGTAATCCCAGCACTTTCGGAGGCCAAGGCGGGTGGATCACCTGCGGCCAGGAGTTCGAGACTGGCCTGGCTAACATGGTGAAACCCGTCTCTAGTAAAAATACAAAAATTAGCTGGGCCTGGTAGTGGGCACCTGTAATCCCAGCTACATGGGAGGCTGAAGCACAAGAATCGCTTGAACCTAGGAGGCAGAGGTTGCAGCAAGCTGAGGTGGCACCACTGCACTCCAGCCTGGGCGACAGAGCAAGACTCGGTCTGAAAAAAAAAAAAAAGGCAAGGCACGGTGGCTCACACCTGTAATCCCAGCACTTTGGGAGGCTGAGGGGGGTGGATCACCTGAGGTCAGGAGTTCAAGACCAGCCTGGCCAACATGGCAAAACCCCATCTCTACTAAAAATACAAAAATTAGCTGGGCATGGTGGCGGTGCATGCCTGTAATCACAGCTACTTGGGAGGCTGAGGTGGGAGAATCGCTTGAACCCCAGAGGCAGAGGTTGCAGTAAGCCAAGATCGGCGCCACTGCACTCCAGCCTGGGCAACAGAGCAAGACTCTGTCTAAAAAAAAATTTTGTTTTTAAAAAAATAACAAAATAAAACTCAAATCTGGAGAAGAAAGGAAGAATGAAACATTGCATCCAGAGGAAAGTCTTTGGAGTGTGACATCAAATCTGGAAATCTTAAAAGAACCATGAATTCAATTCCATAAAAATTGAGTTTTCCTGCATGGCCAAAACAATAAAAAGCCAAAAGCCGTATGATAAACATACTCACTAACATTTGCATCACATTGCAGACAAGGCCTATTTTCCTATATAAAAAGTGACTACAAATAGGAGAATGGCAGAGGATGTGGACAGTTCACAGAAAGTGAATTAATATAATGGTTCAAGCTTATTTCTAAGAGACACAGAAACTGAAACTACGGTGAAATATAACCTGTCAGCTGCTGAACTGATAAAGAGCCAAGAGTCTAATAACACCCCATGTTGGAGCTGACATAGGTAAATAGGCGCCCTCATTTGAGGCTAGTGATAGTCTGAAACGCTACAACCTCTGAAGCAAATCGGTAACAGCCATTAAAATTGCAAAGGTCCTTACCCGTTGACCCAGTAATTCTGCTTCTAGGACTTTACATGTGGAAAACTACGTAGATACAAAATTATTCATGCAACATCCTTTCTAATAGCAAAATACTGTAAATGTCCATCCACAGGATTGTTTTAAAAAATGACAGCACAGTAGAGCTGGGCACATCTGTGGCTCCAGCTACTCAGGAGGCTGAGTGGTGAGGATAGTTTGAGCCCAGGAGTTTGAGGCCAGCCTGGGCAACACAGTAAGACCCCAACTCTATACATAAATAAAATGATAGCACAGCATATGGACATATGGAATACTATACAACCATGCAAAAGAATAGGCAGTTCTGGCCGGGCGCGGTGGCTCATGCCTGTGATCCCAGCACTTCGGGAGGCCGAGGCAGGTGGATCACAAGGTCAGGAGTTCGAGACCAGCCTGGCCAACATAGTGAAACCCCGTCTCTACTAAAAACACAAAAAAATTAGTCGGTGTGGTGGCACACGCCTGTAGTCCCAGCTACTCGGGAGGCTGAGGCAGGAGAATCGCTTGAACCTGGGAGGCAGAGGTTGTAGTGAGGTGAGACTGTGCCATTGCACTCCAGCCTGCGTGACAGAGTGAGATTCCATCACAAAAAAAAAAAAAAAAAAAAAAAAAAAGCATCTCAGATTTCCCCACAGACTTCCTCCCCTAATTTGGGATCTGTCCTGTTGAATGCTGTCAACCCAGTGACTGCCACGATGCCTGGCACATTCTAGGAGCTCACCAAATGTTTGCTGGCAAAATGAATGAAAAGACAGTTTCCCAGAGAAGCTACAAAACCAAGGGCCCAAAACAGATTAAGATGAGAGAGCTGTGACAAGTGCCAGACAGTGATGACTGGGCAGACCAGACTGGGAACATAAGGCTTTGCAGTTAACATGGCAAGGCTGATGCAATGTCAAGATGGCTGCCAGGAAATCTGGCCCTACTACCAACAGCTGTGTGACCCTGGGCAACTACCCCCATCTCTGGGCCTGCCTTTCTCCAAATGTCAAACAAAAGAATATGATTAATCAATGGCTCAAGTCCCTCTCTACTCTTAAACCATTTCAAACAGATAAAAGTGGAACTGTTCTGGTGGAAAGAAGGGTGGGAGGCCTAGAGCCTGGCTCATTTCACTATGCCTACCTCTCCCCATCCTCACCACGGCCCTTCAGACATCCCGTGGTTCTATGGAGCAAAGCTTGAAAACCAGTCTACTGAATGACAAATCTCTCCCACATCTCACATTCTATGATTCTCTGCTGGATGAGGGGCCCATTTCCCTACCAATGAGTGTTCTTCCCAGGTGTCAAACACGAGGAAGTAGAGTATGATCATTCTAAGAACATGACATAAGATGTTTCCAAAGGGAAAAAAAGAGAACAAATTCAGAATGCAGCCAAGGCCAGCAAACCCCATTAGGTCTTCTGTAGGAAGGAAAACAGTAAGAAGCCAAACAACAGAGTGTTTCAATTTCTCCAAATGGCCAGCCAATGTCAGGGGAAGGCCTTTTCTAGTCTCCGGGCAATGATTCATGTCAGAGCAGCCCATGCTCTTCAATCAGATGAGAAGTGTGAAGTTGGTGGTGGCAGCACAAGGCACTGCACACTCTTGGCACTCAGTGAATTAATGAAGGAGACCATCAGTGTGGTGAGATGAGGCAGAGAAAAAGCTTTAGGAAAGGAAAAGGGGAAAGAGACATTTCACAAGGTCAGATCCAGTTGCATCTCTATCTCTGAACTCAAGGACATTCAAGCAGGGAAAACTGATCTCTGAAGGTCTATGTTGGTGGCTTCCAACTTTGGTACTGGAACTGCCACTGTTAAACACTTCCCTAATGAATGAATAGCTGTCAGAAACCTGCTCCATAGAACCTGTTAGCTCATGGACAGTCAAGAGGAAGTTAGGGAAGAGTGGAAAAAAAGGGGCTGGGGTGATGCCACTGTTTCTTCTTCATTTGGAGCAGAAAGGCCAAACTTTGTTCATTCCATGTGTTTTGCTGCTTTGGTTCTGTTTCAAAGGCAGAGGTTAATTCATTTGACAAGTATTCCTCTACTCTGTGCCATGCCCTGGACTGTGTACCTGCTCCCACAAAGCTTAGAGTTCGTTAGAGATGATGACGCTATTCACCACTCCTCATTTGTCTGACAATCTCCTTTTAAAAAGGGAAAGGGGCCGGGCATGCTGGCTCATGCCCACAATCCAGCACTTTGGGAGGCCGAGGTGGGAGGATCACTTGAGGTCAGGAGATTGGGACCAGCCTGGCCAACATGGTGAAACCCTGTCTCTACTGAAAATACAAAAATTAGCTGGGTGTAGTGGCAGGTGCCTGTAATCCCAGCTACTCGGGAGGCTGAGGTGGAAGAATCGCTTGAACCTGGGAGGCGGGGGTTGCAGTAAGCCGAGACCGTGCCACTGCACTCCAGCCTGGGTGACAGAGTGAGACCCTGTCTCAAAAAAAAAAAAAAAAAAAAAAAAAGGAAAAAGGTCCTTATAGGTAAATACTTAAGTTCACTTTACAGACAGGGAAACAGGTAAGGCCAGCTGGAAGACTAAAAGGTGAGTCAGCAGTAGAAAAACCAGATTTCAGACTTTCTCTCTGAGAAAACGTGGTTACCAAATTCAGACAGGCTCTTCCAAGTCAGTTCAATCACTATGAGAAAATAATCTGTGTTCTTTAGGCTCAGCATGAAATTTGGAACAAAGGTGGCAGTGGTAGTAGTAATGGTAAATGGATGTGCACCATGTGACAGACACTATGTAAAGAGCTTTAAAGTTAGTCCTCGTGGAAAGGCGTGGTGGTTCACATCTATAATCCCAGCACTTTGGGAGGCTGAGGCTGGCAGATCATGAGGTCAGGGGTTTGAGACCAGCCTGGTCAACATAGTGAAACCTGTCTCTACTAAACATACAAAAAAATTAGCCAGGCATGGTGGCGGGCGCCTGTAATCACAGCTACTCTGGAGGATGAGGCAAGGAGAATCGCTTGAACCTGGGAGGCGGAGGTTGCAGTTAGCCAAGATCGTGCCACTGTACTCCAGCCTGGGTGACAGTGCGAGACTCTGTCTCAAAAAAAAAAAAAAAAAGTTAGTCTTCACGATAATCCATGAAGGTTTTAATATTATCACAAGTTTACAGATGAGGAAACTGAAGTACCAGGGAGGTCAAGGCATTTGTTTGGAGTTACACAGCTAGAAAATGGCAGTGCCGGCACTCTCCACTGCTGCCCCCTAATAAGGTCACACATGTCCCACTCTGTCCAGCAAGGCAACTAACTGCTCCTCTCTGAATGAAGCCCTGGCAGAAATATACATGCTCTAGGGTAAAGGGTATGTGAAATGGGTTGCCACACATCCCTGCAGAGTCCCTCAGATGTTGAATTACAGGTTATTTTAGGGCCAGCCCAGCCGGTTTGGACAACAGGGAACGTCAAGTTTGGTCATGTGCCTAGTGAAAGCCTATCTGGGTGCGCTTGCCAAGTTATGGGCCTCCTGGGATTTGGATGAAAACTGATTAGTCAAAATCAATCTCCTGGCCGGGCACGGTGACCCACACCTGTAATCCTAGCACTGTGTGAGGCTGAGGCAGACAGATCTCTTGAGCGCAGGAGTTCAAGACCAGCCTGGGCAACATGGCGAAACCCCATCTCTACAAAAATACAATTAGCCAGGTGTGGTGGCATACATCTGTAGTATCAGCTACTCAGGAGCCTGAGGTGGGAAGATTGCTTGAGCCTGGGAGGTTGACGCTGCAGTGAGCTGTGAATGTGACACTGCACTCCAGCCTGGGCGAGAGAAAGAAACTCCGTATCAAAAAAAAAAAAAAAAAAAAAAAAAGGCCGGGCGCAGTGGCTCACGCCTGTAATCCCAGCACTTTGGGAGGCCGAGGCGGGCGGATCATGAGGTCAGGAAATCGAGACCATCCTGGCTAACACGGTGAAACCCCATCTCTACTAAAAATACAAAAAATTAGCTGGGCCTGGTGGCGGGTGCCTGTAGTCCCAGCTACTCGGGAGGCTGAGGCAGGAGAATGGTGTGAACTCAGGAGGCGGAGCTTGCAGTGAGCTGAGATCGTGTCACTGCACTCCAGCCTGGGCAACAGAGCAAGACTCCGTCCCACAAAAAAAAAAAAAAAAAAAAGTCAGTTTCCTGAGGCCCACTAGCAATTAAAGACTTCAGAATGAAAAGGAACTAAAGGCAGACAAATGTCACATGCAAACGTTCTTATATTGGCTTTGAGTCTCTAGAACTCCATTCTAGAATCAGGTACCAGTTCTGAACTGATCTATAAGCCGTAATGTGCGGAAAGATCTGCTGTGAAGAAAAAAAAGTGATGGGCGCAGTGGCTCATGCCTGTAATCCCAGCACTTTAGGAGACCGAGGTGGGCAGATCACTTGAGGTGAGGAGTTCGAGACCAGCTTGGCCAACATGGCGAAACCTATCTCTACTAAAAATACAAAAATTAGCTGGACATGGTGGCTCGCACCTATAGTCCCAACTACTCAGGAGTCTCAGGCAGGAGAATTGCTTGAACCTGAAATCGCACCACTGCACTCTGGCCTGGGTGACAGAGCAAGACTCCATCTCAAAAAAAGAAAAAGTTCCTCTGGACTTGAAAATAAAGTAAGTAAGGCTTCTTCTGAACAATACTTAAATTAATCGAGATGAGGAGAAAGAGGCCAGAGACTACAGAACAACGCTCTTTGTGATCTCGGTTTTCCCATCTATGTAATGGGAACACTTTCTGAAGATCTGTCAAATTAACAGTGTAGAGCACCATCCGCTCCATGCCTGGAACTGTGCCCCACACGGAAGCATGCACACAGTAAACAAAGGACAGTCTTTTCTCACTGAGCTCTTACAGATTTAGAGGCCAGGTAAAGGACTGCAGGGGAACGGCAGAGTGATCATGCCTCCAGAGGAGGAGGGTTCTGAGATAGGTGGAGCAGCAAGGGAAGTTCTCTTAGATGAAGAGGGGCTTGGCTGACGCAAAAAGACAGGTCAGATTTAGAGAGGCAAGAGTGGAGGTGGCAAAGAGATGCACCACGAAATTGCCAATGTGACAACGGAGGGAACTGACAACAATTAAATCAACACTAGCTGGGGAACGGCTTCTTGCTAAGTGATTTACAACCCTTCTCATTTAATTCTCAGGGTAATTCAGTTAAAAAACAAGGAATTAGAGACACTGAGAGATGAGTGATTTACCTAAGGCCAAAACAAGAAGTCTGTGAGCCCCGCTGCCTGGCTGAAGGAAAGGACCTGGAAGGGAAAGGAGCAGACGAGGCTAGGGAAGGAAGAATGAGATTCAGAAATGGTTCTGGATGCCAGGTGTGTTGGGTCCTGCCAGGAGAAGACACAATGGTCATGTCAAATGACAAGTCTCATGCTGATAAGCATTTGACACTACTGATCACTCCCTCCTTCCTGAAAACCTGTCTTCCCTCAAATGCTAGGATGCCATGCTCTCTGCCTGCCCTCCTACGCCACTGTCTGCGCCTTCTCAGTCTCCTTTGCTTGTTCCTCTCCTTCTCCTTCAACACTGTGTGCCCCAGGGCTCAGGCCTGGTACCTCTTCTCTTCCCCATCTATGCTATTTTGCCTCTTTGGTGGATCATCCGGTATCACAGCTTTACATACCATCCACATAGCCCAACCTCTCCCCAGAACCCCCGGGCACACATGTCCAAACTGTGTAACTGACATCTCCACATTACTGTGGAGATGACTAGCAGGCAGCTCAAACAATGGGATAAAAACTGACCTCCTGCTTCCTTCCTTTCCCCAACTGGCTCACCCTGCAGTCTACATCATCTAGTTCCTGCCAGCACCATCTTTAAGAGGGCCTCAGGCTAAAAACCTGAGTCACTCTTAACAACATACTCTCCTTTAAATCTATCGGCAAATCCTATTGGATTCCGACCTTCAAAATGAATCTAGAATCCATGAGCAGCTTCTCACTAGCTCCATCACTAACCCCAGCTCCAAGCCAGCATCACCTTCCATTTAGAGTGCTAACAAAGCTGCTCCCACACTGCTTTGCTGACACCCCATCTCAGCAACAGCCAGGATGATCCTCTTACAGTCCAAATCAGACAGTAGCACCCCTCTGCTCAACGTCTTCCAACGGTTCTCTGTCTTACTCATAGTAAAAGCCAAAGTCCCTACCATGGCCTCATAGCCCACAGGTCCTATAAGAGATGCATGCCCCTCCTCTCTCACGCATGCACCCTGCTGGCCATTACCCTTTGAACTCTTCTCCCCATCATTCCCTCAGCTCCAGCCGCACAGGCCTCTTTACTGATCCTCGAACACAACATGCATCCACCCCAGGGCCTTTGCCCGTGCTATTCACTTTGCTAGGAAGGCTCTTTCTCCAGACAGCCTCATGGCTCAGTCCCTCACCTCTTTAGGTCTTGGCTCAAATGTCATCTTCTCATTGAGGCCTTCTTTGACCATTTTATTTAAAATTGTATACCCCTCCCCCATAATCCCCACCACTTCCTAACCCTCTTTGCCCTTTTTCCCTTCAAAGTACTTATTACCTATTACCTACACACTATAAAATATACTTACGTTGTCTATTCTTTCTCCCCCTATAAATTCCCTAATGTAAATGGGGGTAAGGATTTTGTCCATTTTGTTCACTATCATATTCCTGACTCCTAGGCTGGTACCTGGCAAACAGGTGTTCAATAAGTAGCTGAATGACCAGTGCTCAACTCTCTTCTTGGGCAAATTTCATGTTTTGTAAACCAACCTCTGCTAGAGCAGCTTCTCCATGTTCCATTCACGGGGTTATCCAGGATCAGAGATACATCTGCTCTGATTGTCAAGCTATTCTAACTATACTGAAATTGAACATGCCAGACCCCTAGCACATTTACAGCCAATAAATGGAAGTTAAGTGAATAAATTATGAGAGAGAGAAGAAATGGCAAGGGTAGAAGATCAGGTGGCAACATCTCCAGTGGGAGAAACGTTCAGTGAGGCCAAGTCACTCTCACCTGCTCCCATAGGTATCAGCTCAGAGTGACAGAGCTGCAGAAGGTGGGGGGCTCTGGCACAGGATATAAGTACCAGGTCCTTGCCTCCAGGCCCACATGCCTTCTTTGTTCCTCTAACAGCCAACTCTTCACTATCTCTACCCTTGCTGATCCTTCTGCTTGGATTATCCTCTCCTAACTGCTCCAATTTATCCTTCAAATCTCAGCTTAGATGATCTCATTTCAAAGATAACTTCCCTTCAGCGTGATACCTCTGATGCTTAAAAAAAGAAACAAAAAAAAAATACCTTTCCTACATGTACTATCTTTTTTGTTGTTGTTGCTAGAGACAGATAGTCTTGCTCTGTCACCCAGGCTAGAGTGCAGGGGTGTGATCATAGCTCACTGCAGCATCAAACTACTGGGCTCAAGCAATTCTGCTTCAGCCTCCTGAGTAGCTGGGACTACAGGCGTGTGCCATGCCCAGCTAATCTTTTCAAGTTTTTTGTGGAGTCTCGCTAAATTATCCAGGCTGGTCTTGAACTCCTGGCCTCAAATGATCCTCCCACCTCAGCCTCCCAAGTAGCTGGGATTACAGGCATGAGCCACGGCACCTGGCCATGCATGTACAACCTTAAGAAGGTATTTCTCTGTCCACATCCTTCAGTGTTCTTATTCATACATTTCCTGAGCATCTTTCGTGTACCAGAAACACTTCTACATGTTGGGAATGCAGGAGTGAAAGAAACAGACAAAAATCCTTCCCTACATGGAGTTTATGTCCTAATGGGGGAAAGAGACCGTAAGCAAGATAAGTGAGTAAAATATATAACATCTTAGATAGTGATAAACACAATGGAGGCAAAAAAGAGGAGGGAAGGAGGATAGGGAGGGGAGAGGGGAGGAAGGGAAGTTAAAATTTAACTAGGGTGGCCATAGAAGGCCTCCTTGAGAAGGTGACAGGTGACACTGTCTGCGAAAGAGCCTGCCAAGCAAAAGAGATCGCCAGTGCAAAGGTGAGTATGTGCCTGGCATGTCTGAGGAACAGAAGGGAAGTGAATGTGGCTGAGTGAGCAATGAGGAAAACAGTGGGTCAGGAAGTCACAGGAGAATGCAGGGGGCCTTATGATCAAGCGTGAGGTCTCTGGCTTTTACTGAGTGAGCTGGAGCCACTGGAGGGTTTTGAGCAGAGGAGTCCTGACATCTGACCTATATTTTAATAAGTTCTGGCTGCTATGCCTTTTGTTTCCCTTGTGGCTTATTGGTTTTTCTAATCATTGCATTTTTTTCTCTACTTCTTTGTCTCTCTCTCCCATTAAAATGAAGTAAGCAACTAGAGGGCTTATCTGAAGCCTGAAGCCATATCTGGCCTGTTGACCTATCAGCATAGGCCAGCACCAGGCATTAGCAGGCCTCGATAAATACTGAATGAATACTGGACTTAGAAAGTCTCTGTCCTCAGTGTCCCAGCAGCCAGCCACCCAATACTCGGAGATCGGGCAATGAAGACCACCACAGCAGCAGACCCAAGGCTGGCTCTACTGAAATTGTGTTATTCTGCTCCCAATAGGCTTAAGATCCTAAATGTAAGGAGGGTGTGGTAAAAAGTATCTACCACCCAAGTCTATTCCTCTATGGAACTCAGCTACTGAAATGCCAAAAATGAACACTGAAGGTTCAGTTTTAAAGCTTTTGAGACCTGGGCCGGGTGCGGTGGCTCACGCCTGTAATCCCAGCACTTTGGGAGGCTGAGGTGGGCGGATCACAAGGTCAGGAGATCGAGACCATCCTGGCTAACACGGTGAAACCCCGTCTTTATTAAAAATAGAAAAATTAGCCGGGCGTGGTGGCGGGCGCCTGTAATCCCAGCTACTCAGGAGGCTGAAGCAGGAGAATGGCGTGAACCTGGGAGGCAGAGCTTGCAGTGAGCCGAGATCACGCCACTGCACTCCAGACTCCGTCTCAAAAAAAAAAAAAAAAAAAAGCTTTTGAGACCTGACTTTCAAACCTACCACCTTCCAGCTCCGAGTCCACAGGGTAGACTGTGGTAATTGGTGGTAACCTGGGGGATCAGTGACTAAGGCATCCCAGTAACTGATGAATTCTGGGCCTTGTGGGGTCAACCCAGAGTTAGGCCACACTCATACCACAACTAGGAGAGGCCTCCCTTCCTGACAGAGGTCAGAGGTCAAGTCCAAGGCTAAAGACCCAGACAGCATGAGGTGTAGGAGTGTAGAACCATAGCCAAGTCCTTCCTCAGCTCCACTATATAAGAGGGGACAATCTAAACACAAGGAGTGGGTAGGTGAAGGCAGCCATTGCAGGTAGGACAGGGGCTCTCCCAGGTTCTACAAAGCAAACAGGCACAACTGCAGCACAACTGTAAAATGGGAACTACAATGTTACATGCCTGAAGGGTTTGTGAGGCTAAAACAAGTCAATACATACCTAGCCCTTAGCAGTGCCCGGCCCACAAAATGCCTGATAAATGTTAGCCACTATTACTACTACCGAGAGAGAGAGAGTTTACCACTTCCCTGCTCCGTACCAGATTCCCAGGTCTCTGGAAGCCCTGAAACACCCTGATGGCTGTCTGGTGGTACCAACTGTAGTTTGAAAGTAGTCTCAGCACTGATCAGATTTCTCCCTGTCTCTATGAGGTGACATGAGGATGGACAGGAGATAATCTAGAAAGTGCTTTGAACCCCTTAGGAGTCAAGGAATCCTAACAATTCAATGCAATATTCATTCATTCACTCATTCAACACCTGCTGAGCACCAACTATGTACCAGACACCTCACTAGGTGCTGGAGACGTAGTTAAGGCAGGTCTTCGTCAAGGATTAAAAGCTATTTACTGGCCAGGCACGGTGGCTCAAACCTGTAATCCCAGCACTTTGGGAGGCCGAGGCAGGCGGGTCACTTGAGGTCAGGAGTTCGAGACCAGCCTGGCTAACATGGTGAAACCCCATCTCTACTAAAAATACAAAAATTAGCCAAACATGGTGGCAGGTGCCTGTAATCCCAGCTACTCTGGAGGCTAAGGCATGAGAATTGCTTGAACCCGGGAGGCGGAGGTTGCAGTGAGCCAAGATCGCGCCACTGCACTCCAGCATGGGCGAAAAAGCGAGACTCTGTCTGGAAAAAAAAAAAGAGCTATTTACTTAGAAGAGAGCCAAATAAACAATCACAACCCACTGTGACCCTTGCCAGAGGGCATCAAGGAGGGGCATCTAGCTCAGACCTAGGGGTGATGATCAGATGGGAAGAACCAAGTAGCACTCCAGCTAGGCAGGTAAGGTTGGGAGAGCAGGAAATGGTGTTCAGGCAGAGGGAAGAGTGCAAAGCAAAGACAGAGAGGTATAAAGAGTTGGGAGGCCAGGTGTGGTGGCTCACGCCTGTAATCCCAGCACTTTGGGAGGCCCAGACAGAAGGACTGCTTGAGGCCAGGGGTTTGAGACCAGCCTGAGCAATATAGCAAGACTCCATCTCTACAAAAAATAAAAACAATTTGCCAGGCACAGTGGCACCCATCTGTAGTACTAGCTACTTGGGAGGCTGAGGCAGGAGGATCGTTCAAGCCCAGGAGTTGGAGCCTGCAGTGAGCTATGACAGCTCCACTGTACTACAGTCTGGGTAACAAGCCAAGATCCTGTCTCGAAAAAAGAAAAAGAGTTGGTGCTTGCAGAAGTAGCAAGTAGCTGAGGTTGACTGGAGCTTGGGAAAAGGTGAGTGTGGAGCAGGAGAGATGACAAAAGAGAGCTAGGCAGGGGTCAGAGTCCAAAGGGCCTTGAATGCCATGCTAAGGAATGTGAGTTTTAGCCCGAGGGCAACTAGGAGCCACTGATGAATTTTCAAGCAGAATTTTCTTTAAGGATTCCCCAACTGCTCTGTTGACATTTTTTCTCAGGAGTATTTGTTCCTCTCCATGTGAAGACATAAAGAACAGAAAAATCACTTCTGGGCTGTGATAATATCAACGATGTCTCTTAGGCAAAAAGACCTGCTGAGAAAAAGAAATGTCTGCAAGGCACAGATGTCACCTCAACCTTCAGAAACACAGCGAAGTGCAAAACCCAAGCCATGTTTGCTTACTGTCAGCATGTCAGGCTTTGGTGCCAGACACGGGAAGTTCCTGGGAAGTAGTTAAGACATGCAAGAGTTTCAGAGGATGACTAGAAAAAGATGCAAGCCCAAGCTCAAAGCCAGAAGGACCAACAAATTGAACTTGTTCTGAACTACTTTTAGGAAGTGAAACAAGAAGGGTGGAAAAAGTCCTGCGTACATTAAGGTCTCTGTTTGCAGAAGGAAGTAACGCTCCAGAAGCCAAGGTTGGCAGCCTTCCTCAGACACAGGCCCCCAGCAGGCATCAGTCTGCCTAGAGTCAAAGCACCCAAAAATCACAGGCCCTGCACAAATTTTCCCATCTAACCCTCACACAAACCAGGGGTAGAGGAGTCAGAAAGGGTGGCCAGTATTATTTTAGAACTGAGGTAAAGGAGGGCCAGCCTATGTCAACGGTCCAGGTCAGGTCACACTGCCAGGAAGCTGCTGAGCTGGGGTTGAACCCAGGGCTGACTGACTGGGAGTCTGGTGATCTTTCCATCATACCTCTGGGCTCTTGAAGCAGCTCAGGGTGAAGCCTCCACTGACCTACACTCAACAGATGATCTTCACACAATCTCTGAGGGATCTGACTCTTTGAGACCTACTGAAGATGCTCCTCATGACAGTTTCTAAGAGGTCAGAGGAGACTGGTGGGCTCAACTCAGGACAGAAAACCAGAAGCTCTGAGCTCTGCTCATGTTCCTACCCTCTGTGACAAGTTGCTTCATCTCAAATCCTCCCTTGGAAGGATGGGAATATAAGGTGACAATATTAAGTTTCTGTGAATTCAATGGAACTAGGAGAATAGATCACACAGCTTAAAAAAAAAAGGTATTACAGTAATATTTATATACAGCTTTCTTCAGAAGCCATGTGGAAGCCCTCACGGGTTCATTCACAGGTTCATACCCCTAGGAGCAGACAGGAAGGCGGCAGGTCTTTCTCATGTTGATGTCAGGGAAACTGAGGCAGAATTGAAGCAAGTGAATATCCGCAATGGAATGAGGCTTAGATTCATACAGCCTAGTCCTCCAGCCACCAAACCGTCTCACCACCTCCCAAGTAAGACGTGCTCTGCTCTGGCAAGAAGCCATGGGGCCTGCATATTTCTCAGAAAGGCAAAGATTCTTCCTCTGGGTACCTTCTTCCAGAACCTAGGACCAAAAGATCCCCTAGAGGTCATGTGGTTCCTCTCTTTTTAGACCAAAACGAATGCAGCTCAACCACTCTGAAGAGAAGTTCTCGACAATCTTCAAATAGTTTTCACGGATAGCCTGTTTTGTGTCTCACTGTTCCCTAAAGTCAGGAAAATCTTAGACTCTTGCCCTGAAAGGTATCACTAATAGCAACAGCCTGTAGGATTGTTTTATCCTAAAGAAAGTAAGTCGAATGCCCCTTATGAAGATCAGACAAAAAGCAATAAGGCTACATCGTGACATAAATCCAAATAAATACAACGGCAGCTAAAAATCTTTTTTTTTTTTTTTTTTTTGAGACGGAGTCTCACTCCGTGGCCCAGGCTGGAGTGCAGTCGCACGATCTCGGCTCACTGCAACCTCCACCTCCTGGGTTCAAGCGATTCTCCTGCCTCAGCCTCCCAAGTAGCTGGGATTACAGGCGTACGCCACCATGTCTGGCTAATTTTTGTATTTTTATTGGAGACAGGGTTTCACCATGTTGGTCAGGCTGGTCTTGAACTCCTGACCTCACGATCCACCCGCCTCAGCTTCCCAAAGTGCTGGGATTACAGGCGTGAGCCACCATGTCTGGCTAAAAGTCTTAAATATCCCCTACACCCCAACCTTAACTCCAGTCTTTCCTTTGTCTCTGTACTTTGCAGGTCTCTGACAGCCTGGCAGAAAACCTGGCCTTGCCTCTACTACCCGAATGACCTTACATGTGGGATTTAACCTCTCTGTGCCTCAGGGTCCTCATCGATAAAATAGGGATATTTAATCCCCACAAAGGTTGCTGTGAAGTTTAAATGTGTCATTGTAAGGAAAGTGCTTAGCACAGTGCCCGGTACACAGAAGGGACTCGATAGCCACTAGCAAGCATCTCCCTCGTTATTTTGCAGCATTATCACCGGTGTCTCCATTCAGTTAACTTGTCTTAGAGGCTCCAACAAACAAGACCAAGCCAGTGCCTAGCCGGAGGCGGGCGGCACGGGACCGTTTTCTAGTTTTTTTTTCTTTCTTCTTTTTCAACCTTGGCAAAGAGATAACGCCCTGAACAACGAGGAGGCCTCAGGATGGCCATGGAGGTGAGTCCGAAAGAGGAAATCAGAGCCCGAAGAGTTTTCCCTCAGGCCAGTGGGGAATTCCTCGGGGCCTAAGTCCTGTCTCTCCGGGCGGAAGCCCCAGGAGGTGCTGCGGGTATGGGGCGGCCGAGGAACAGGCCGGCGGCCAAGTGGGCGCGAATGAATGAACGAACCCTCAGCCCTTCCTCCTCCTCTGGCTGGGGACGTCGCTCGCGCCCCTGCAGCGCCGCGTCCTCTTCATGACCTCTGACCCCGCAAACCCCTCACCTAGGACCCCTGACCCCTCGCCCCACTTCTTCTCCTGGCTCGCCCGGGTCCCCGCTTCCTCACCCGCAGGTCCCAATAGCTCCCGGCGCCCCGGCTCGGTTCGGCTTGGCACCAAAATGTCCGCGGCCTCCACCTCTCGCTCTCCCGGTGCGTCCGGGCTGCCGGCGGCTCGGAGCCCCGCGGCTGTCACCTGCCGGGCGGAAGTGAGCTGCCCGCGCGCGGGTACTTCCGGTGGACGCAAGGCCTGAAGGCGGGGTCAAGGGTACAACCCTGGCGGGGGTGGTGCCCGTGGGGCGGGGCAAGAAAAGGGGAAGAGCCCAACGGTATTAACCCCTCGGCAGCCGCGGCGCTGCTATGCTGCAGTCTCCCGCAGAGCCCTTGGGAAACCATCCCGCTAGCCAATTCAGCGTGAGGGGGCCGGGCAAGGTCGTAGGGAGTTTGAAGTCCATCTTCTGTGTAAAGACGGCAAATCTGAGGTTCTAAGAGGGGCAGGGTTTTGCTCAAGGTCACTCATTTTTTGTTTGTTTGTTTGAAATAGGGTCTTGCTCTGTTGCTCAAGCTAGAGTGCAGTGGCTCGAAGATCTGGGCTCACTGCACCCTCCGCCTCCCAGGCTCAGGTGATCCTCTCACCTCAGCCTCCCAAGCAGCTGGGACCACAGGTGCGCAGCACTACGCCCGGCTAATTACTTATTATTTACTTATTTATTTTTTGTAGAGAGAGTCTCACTTTATTGCTCAGGCTGGTCTCGAAATCATGGACCCGAGAGATCCTCCCGCCTCGGCTTCCCAAAGTGCTGGGATTACAGAGGGGTCTCTCTCTGTCCAAACTAGGTTTACAGCTCTAGTTTGGACCCCTCCATTCTTAAGATGAGTGACCTTGAGCCAGACACAGTGGCTCATACCTGTAGTCCCAGCTACTCGGGAGCCTGAGGCAGGAGAATAGCTTGAGCCCAGGAGGTTGAGGTTACAGTGAGCTATAATTGCAGCACTGCACTCCAGCCTGGGCGACAGATCCAGACCCTGTCTCAAAAAAAGAAAAAAAATGGCCGGGCATGGTGGCTCACACCTGTAATCCCAGCACTTTGGGAGGCCGAGGCGGGCGGATCACAAGGCCAGGAGATCGAGACCATCCTGGTTAACATGGTGAAACCCCGTCTCTACTAAAAACACAAAATATTAGCCGGGTGTGGTGGCAGGCGCCTGTAGTCCCAGCTACTCAGGAGGCTGAGGCAGGAGAATGGCGTGAACCCGGGAGGCAGAGCTTGCAGTGAGCCGACATCACACCACTGCACTCCAGCCTGGGCGACAGAGCAAGACTCCGTCTCAAAAAAAAAAAAAAAGAAAAAAGAAAAAAACCATCTGCAATCCCACTGACCTAAGACAATCACTTTTAATATTTTGGTGAATATTCTTCCAAACTTGATAGATCATTTGTTTTTTTTTGTTTGTTTGTTTTGAGACAGGGTCTCGCTCTGTTGCCCGGACTGGAGTGCAGTGTCGTGATTTTGGCTCACTGCAACCTCTGCCTCCCAGGTTCAAGCGATTCTCCTGCCTGGGCCTCCCAAGTAATTGGGATTACAAGCATGCACCACCGTGCCCAGCTAATTTTTGTATTTTTAGTAGAGGCGGGGGTTTCACCATGTTGACCAGGCTGGTCTTGAACTCCTGACCTCAAGTGATCTGCCCACCTCAGCTTCCCAAAGTGATGGGATTATAGGCGTGAGCCACTGTTGGTATTTTTTAACTCACCAAAATATTGGTAAAAGTTTCCCAAAATAGTAAATACATTTCTACTTGGCACTTTCCAGTATCTGCATAGTATTCCATTACGTGGATGGTACTGCTAATCTCAAAAACAATCCCCTGAGGTTGTTATCCATCTTTTTTAATATTATCAAAAAGTTGTTAATAAATAAGCTTGCACTTACTGCTAAGTGCACTTATTGCTAAGTCTCTACGTCCTATCTAATATAGATATTACTGGTTTTTATATTTAATATAATTTTAGATGTTTAAGCAGCCTCAAAGCCTTTAAAAGTTATTTTTAAATAATTATAGACTTACAGGAAATTGCAAAATTAGTACCAAAATTGAGTCCCATATACCCTTCACCCAGCTTCCCACAATGGTGACATTTTATATATCTGCAGTATAATAGCAAAAGCAGGAAATTGGTGGTGTTGGTAAAATACCGTTATCTAAATTACAAACCTTATTCCATTTTTATTTATTTATTTATTTATTTATTTATTTTAGACGGAGCCTCGCTCCATCACCCAGGCTGGAGTTCAGTGGCTCGATCTCGGCTCACTGCAAGCTCCGCCTCCCGGGTTCACGTCATTCTCCTGCCTCAGCTTCCCGAGTAGCTGGGACTACAGGCGCCCGCCACCACGCCCGGCTAATTTTTTTTGTATTTTTAGTAGAGACGGGGTTTCACCGTTGTTAGCCAGGATGGTCTGGCTCTCCTGACCTTGTGATCCGCCCGCCTCAGCCTCCCAAAGTGCTGGGATTACAGGTGTGAGCCACCGTGCCCGGCCACCTTATTCCATTTTTAAATCCTTTTTAAAAGTAGTCAGGGAGGCCATCCTGGCTAACACAGTGAAACCCCGTCTCTACTAAAAAATACAAAAAATTAGCCGGACATGGTGGTGGGTGCCTGTAGTCCCAGCTACTCAGGAGGCTGAGGCAGGAGAATGGCGTGAACCCGGGAGGTGGAGCTTGCAGTGAGCCAAGATTGCACCACTGCACTCCAGCCTGGGCGACGGAGTGAGACTCTGTCTCAAAAAAAATAAAAATAAAAAAGTAGTCAGGGAACAAATGGAATTTTTTTTTCTTTTGGCTTCAACAATGGAATTTATTTTCTCACAGTGCTGGGGACTGGAAGTCTAAGATCAAGGTGTTGGCATGGCTGCTTTCCTCTGAGGCCTCTCTCCTTGGCTTGTAGATGGCCGCCCTCTTGCTATGTCCTCACACGATCTTTCCTCTGTGTGCCTGGAATAATTTTATGTGTATGTATGTGCCATGCAGCATGTGTGATATGCAACTTTCTGGAGGAACTGCCCTTCTCTGATGATAGATGTTGGTAAATGCCACCCGCCTCAGTGGAAAACAAAATTTCATTGGGAATGTAACATCAGAAGAGAAAAATTATCCTACAAAACAAACCAACAAACCTAAAGGTATCAAGCTGGAGAGCTTATGTGCAAGTGGCAAGTCAGTGGTTGAAGGAGTCAGAGCTTTAAGATTTCCAAGGAGGGAGAGGTCACAGCACCGGGCGGCTCAGGAAGGACTTCCTGGGGAAGATGGCATTTGCGCTGTCTTGCCGAATGAGAACAGAGTTGCGTAGGCTGAGAGAGAAGGAAAGGGTAATCCAGAGAAAAGAACTGTGCCGAGGCAGGAAAACCTCACGGGCCCACCCCCACGCCCAGTGCAAGGGAGCCAGGTGTCTGAGTCCTGCAGAAAGCATTTTCCAAGCCTCTGGTTTCAGCCAGGCCCTGGGCTGGGTGCTGGATAGTCAGATGGGTGAGGCTAAGGCCCTGCCCTTGCTCAGCCTACAGTTTGCAGGGAGAGGGGGTGACAGAGGAGCAAGTCACAAGTGTGACTGATGCTGTGAGAGGGGACATACTGGGAGGCTATGGGAGTCCAGAGCTAAAACTGAAGTTCCTTTGGGTTGGAGGGACCAGGGATGCCTGGACAAGTAGAAGGTTTTTGTTGTTGTTGTTGTTTTGTTTTTGGTGAGCCGGGGTCTTGCTCTGTCCCCCAGGCTGGAGTGGAGTGGCAGCAATCTCGGCTCACTACAACCTCTGCCTCCCGGGCTCAAGCAATTCTCCTGCCTCAGCCTCTCGAGTCGCTGGGATTACAGGCGCCCACCACCAAACCCAGCTAATTTTTGTATTTGTAGTGGAGATGGGGTTCCAACCTGTTGACCAGGCTAGTCTTGAACTCCTGACTTCAGGTGATCCGCCCGCCTTGGCCTCCCACAGTGCTGGGATTATAGGCATGAGCTACCACACCTGGCTTTTTTTTTTTTTTTTTTTTTTTTTTTTTTTTTAAGACAGAGTCTCCGTCACTCAGGCTGGAGTGCAGCTGTGCAAATTTGGTTCACTGCAACTTCTGCCTCCCAGGGTCAAGCAATCCTCCTGCCTCAGCCTCCCAAGTAGCTGGGACTGCATTTGCACACCACCATGCCTGGTTAATTTTTGTATTTGTAGTAGAGATGGGGTTTTGCCATGTTGGCCAGGCTGGTCTCAAACTCCTGACCTCAAGGGATCCACCTCCAAAGTGCTGGGATTACAGGCATGAGCCAACACACACGGCCAAGTAGAGTGTATTTAATCAGGAACTGCAGAACAACAGTGAATGTTTATGGAACATGTAGCGTGGCAGGTAGTGTGCAGAAAATCTCATTTGCTCCTGACATCGGCCCCATGAGGAAGGGGTTGTTTTAGCTCCATTTCATCTTGGGGGGAACTTCAACCCTGAGAACTTAAATAGCATGTGAGTGACAAGGCTGAGGGCCTGGTCCCAGAGCCCCAGCTGTCATGAGTTTCATTCATTCTCCTAAAATATAATCATCACTGCCATCTGAGCCAGGAACACTGGGGATGCAACAGTGAACAGGGTATGGCACAATCCCCCCTTGGGGGCTCACTGTTGAGTATGGGAGAAAGATAAACAAAGGGACAATTATAACTCAGAGTGGTAGGAAGTACCAGGGAGGCACAGGGGATGCAGGCACCAAATTCAGCCTGGGAAAGTCAGGGAAGTCTTCCTGGAGGAAGTGACACCCAACCTGAACTGTGAAGGGTGAGACTACTACTAATAGTTAACCATTAACCAGGCACTGTGTGAAGCGCCTCTGCATATTAACTCATTAAACTTTCCCAATAATTCCATGACAGTTCCATGACTGTCCCCAAGTAGAGATAAGGAAAAGACCAGTGGGTAGAACTGATTTCTTCCCTACTTCCATGAGGGCCTGGACCTGCTCTCCCACAGCATGATCTGGCAGGAGAGCTAAAAATATACTAGTAAGAGGAAGTACAGTTCAAAGTAAAAGGCTGGATAATTACAGCTTGCAGAGGTGGGTGACAGAAGTGGGGAAGGGAGCATCTAAGGGAACTTCCCTCTCTGCCCCCACCACTAAACCCACCTAGCTACACTGCCTGAGTCATCCACACCATCAAATGCTGACAGCTACAACTGGAACTGCCACACCTGGGGCACATGTGGGTGCCCCGGCCCTCTGAGACCCCAGGCCCAGGAGAAACTCCTTGCCCTAGGATGTGGGGAGCAGAGCCAATGGTAGCCAAGCCCACCTGGATAGAGAGAGAGAGAGAGAGAGGGCGCTGGCTTCCTCCCAAGAAATACATACTTCCTGACAATAATACTACCTCCTGGCTAGTTTTTATTTTTATTTATTTATTTATTTTGAGACAGAGTCTCACTCTTTTTGCCCAATCTGCCTACCACACCCAACTAATTTTTGTATTTTTAGTAGAGATGGGGTTTCACCATGTTGGCCAGGCTAGTCTCGGAACTCCTGACCTTAAATGATCTGCCCGCCTTGGCCTCCCAAAGTGCTGGGATTACAGGCATGAGCCACCACGCCCGGCCTATTTTTATTTGTTTTAGAGATGAGGTCTCACTATGTTGCCCAGGCTGGTCTCAAACTCCTGGCCTCAAGTGATCCTCCTGCTTTGGCCTCCAAAGTTCTGGGATTACAGGTATGTGCCCCTGTGCCCAGCCAGGACATTTTAAAACTTTTCTCCAAGCCCCAGTGTTTTTATACCCTGCCCGATTTGAGCTGGCTGGTGGAGACAGGGCTGTCCAGTTCTTTGTTTTTGAGACAGAGTTTCGCTTTTGTTGCTGCAAGCTCCGCCTCCTGGGTTCAAGTGATTCTCTTGCCTCAGCCTCCCGAGTAGCTGGGATTACAGGCCTGTGCCACCACTCCTGGCTAATTTTGTTTGTTGTTGTTTTTGTTTTGTTTTGTTTTGTTTTGAGACGGAGTCTCGCTGTGTCGTCCAGGCTGGAGTGCGGTGGTGCGGTCTTGGCTCACTGCAACCTCCACCTCCTGGGGTCAAGCCATTCTCCTGCCTCAGCCTCCCGAGTAGCTGGGATTACAGGCACCCACCACCATGCCTGGCTAATTTTTGTATTTTAGTAGAGAAAGGGTTTCACCATGTTGGCTAGGCTGGTCTCGAACCCCTGACCTCAGGTGATCTGCCCGCCTTGGCCTCCCAAAGTGCTGGGATTACAGGCGTGAGCCACTGCACCGGGCCTGGCCAGTTCTTTGGGCCTCAGTTTCTCTTCTCTGCGAACTGTGCACCCACCATGGGCCAAGCATCGTTGTATGCCCTTGACATCCATCAATTCATTTAACTCTCACCGTTCTCAATAGGTAGATGCTAAGATAACCCCATTTTACAGATGAGGCCACTGAAGTCCTGAAATGTTGAGGGACTTTCCCAGCTTCCCAAAGCAGCAATGGGCCTAGCGGAGAGTCAAGGCCAGGGCTGATGACGGCAGGCCTCATGCTTTCTTCTCCACTCACCCTTACCTGCTTCATGAGGTTTCATCCAATGCCAGGAAGGTTGAGAGTTCGTGCGGTCTCGTGAAATGACCCACTGTGACCCCTGCCACTGGCATTCTGTGACCCTCAGCAAGTCCCTTCCCCTTTCTGATACTCAGAATCTCAGAGCAAAGTCCTTCCCATCCTCCCTCCACAATGAATGGGTGCATAAGTACATGAACAAATTAAGTATTCTTCCCCTCTGCGCCCACTAGAGTGCGCACAGGTGCCACTAACCGCCACCGTTCCCTTCAATTGCCATCCTTTCACAGGGGCCGCTGTGCCTTTCTATATACATTCCCAGCCTTTCCGCACTCTTGTTCCTCTGTGATTACTATTCCTCTACTCCAGTCTCTGTTTGCTTGCTGGTTTTTGTTGTTTTCATCCTGCAAATCTCTAAAAGTTGCCACAGAGCCTTTCTAAAAGGAGGCAGGAGGTGGCTTTGTCCATAGCCTCAGGAACACCAGCCTCCACCTGCTTGCTGAGGGCAGGCAGCTTCCCATCCCTCCCGCCCAGCCCAGGCCTGGCACAACCCCCAGGGCAGAGAGGCCTAGAGCTTGCCAGGGATCCCAGCCTTTGCCTCCAGCTCTCCTTGCTGCAGATGTCCTCAGTGCACCATTTCTAGTCTTCCCAGTAGCAAATTCCTGCTCAGCCCCTCCTAGCTGTACACCACAGGCTCCCTCTTGAAGAGCTCTGCTCTCTCAGGTACCCCTGTGCTGAACTACCCTCCGCCGATGCATCGAAAAAGCCCAGGCTCTCAGATGGGCACAGTGGCTCACACCTGTAATCCCAGCACTTTGGGAGGCTTAGGCAGGTGGATCACCTGAGGTCAGGAGTTCCAGACCAGCCTGGCCAATATGGTGAAACCCTGTCTCTACTAAAAACACAAAAATTAGCTGGGGATGGTGGTGAGTGCCTGTAATCCCAACTACTAGGGGGGCTGAGGCAGGAGGATTACTTGAACCTGGGTGGCAGAGGTTGCAGTGAGCTGAGATCATGCCCGTCCACTCCAGCCTGGGCAACAGAGCGAGACTCTGTCGAAAAGAGAAGAGAAGAGAAATAAGAGAAAAGAGAAGAGAAGAGAAAGAAAAGAGAAGAGAAGAGAAGAGAAAGAAGAGAAGAGAAGGAAGAGAAGAGAAGATAAGAGAAAAGAGAAGAGAAGAGGCCCAGGCTCTCAACCCCACCTGGGCTCAGATCTTCAGCTATGGGACTTCAGTTTCCAGTCTGAAAAATGGGACTTGCTATGGTTTGAATGCATCCCCCAGGAAGCACATGTTGGCAGTCCCCACTGCAACAGTGTTAGGAGGTGGGGCCTAATGGGAGGTGTTTGGGTCATGAAGTCTGTACTCTCATGAGTGGATTAATGCCAATCACAGAAGGGCTTGAGGCTGTGTGTTAGATCTCTTGCACTCTCTCTCACTCTCTCTCTTTCTGCCATGGGAATATGCAAGGAGGCCCCCACCAGATGCCGAGCAGATATTGGCACCATGCCCTTGGACTCTGGACTTCAAGAACCATGAGCCAAATACATTTCTGTTTATTATAAATTACCGAGGTATTCTGTTAAAGCAGCACAAGACAGACTAACATAGGTTGGTTGTGCCTTCTTGCAAGGTTGCTGTAGAGATTAAATTGTAGAACTAATGTACAGTGCCTGGCATCTATAAGTCCCCCTTAAATGGGAGCTTTTGTATTAATTTAATTTGTATTAATTAAAAAAAAATAGAGGTTGGAGGGAGGTCTTACCATGTAGTTCAGGCTGGTCTCGAACTCCTGGCCTCAAGTGATCCTCCTGCCTTGGCCTCCCAAAGTGCTGGGACTACAGGCACGTGCACCACACCTGGCTAATTTTTGTATTTTTTGTGGAGACAGGGTTTTGCCTCATGTGCTCAAGTGATCCACCCACCTTGGCCTCCCAAAGTGCTGGGATTACAGGTGTGAGCCACCACACCCAGCCTGAAACTTCTTTTTTTTTTTTTTTTTTTTTTTTTTTGAGACGGAGTCTCGCTGTGTCGCCCAGGCTGGAGTGCAGTGGCTTGATCTCGGCTCACTGCAAGCTCCGCCTCCCGGGTTCACGCCATTCTCCTGCCTCAGTCCTCCCGAATGGCTGGGACTACAGGCGCCTGCCACCGCGCCCGGCTAATTTTTTTTGTATTTTTAGTAGAGATGGTGTTTCACCGTGTTAGCCAGGATGGTCTCGATCTCCTGACCTCGTGATCCGCCCACCTCGGCCTCCCAAAGTGCTGGGATTACAGGCTTGAGCCACCGCGCCCGGCCACCTGAAACTTCTTAAGTAGTTCCCACAATGACATAAGTTCAACAACTGAGACAAATCTCTTAATCTATATGCCCTGGTGTTTCCGTTTCTGTGCTTGAACCCTGACTGAATTGGGGGGATACACTGATTCAGGTCTTCAACTGGTTCAGCTCTAAGGCAGGTCCTTAGAGCGTGAGGTCTCCAAAACCCATCAGCCTTGGGTCCTCCTGGTGGGACTTGCTCAGAGTCCAGTTTTCCTAACCGCCCTGTAGCTACCAGTGGCTGGACGAGGACAGACTTTTCCCAAGCCAGTGCCAACAGCAAGAAACTGCAGTTACCTGCCGACCGATGGGCCAAACAGAACAAAAGAAAACCCAGGATTGGACCTAAAAACCAGATCTTCTGTATCAATAGAGGGTCTTTTGATAAGTGGGCATCTTGGAACTGGGGCACTCTGGGAACAAAAGTGGTGATGGGACTCTGTGGGTGAGTGTTAACCCCCATTCTCCTATTGGGATAGGGTTACATGCTCCCAGGAGTGGGGTTTGGGTCTCTGCATGCAGATTGGGACCCTGCTTGAGTAGTGCCCACTTCTAGTTGGGTAAAGAGGCATGTGGAAGCTGAGCTTCCATCTGGGGCTGAGCTGGACTTCATGACACCCAGACTCTCCAGCCCGGGCCTTGGCTAGTTCCCAGGGGGCTCTGAGGCCATGTCCAAGGGGACAATGATGGCCCTCAGTGTGACAGGGTGGCTGGGAAGTGGGAAGAATCCATGGAAGGGGGGGTTGGCATCTGGCTTGCCCGAGGGGTCTCCCACATCGAGCAGGGCAAATTCCCCACGCAAAGCAGCAAGCTGCACCTGTCAGAGCTCTCAGTGCTGTGGCTCATCCGCTCTACCCTGGGCAGCTGGTGGTACGAAGCTGGTTAGTGCCATCTGAGACCACCACTGGGGCTGCACTCATGGGGGTGTGGGAAGGCTGGAGATGGCAGGCCTCAGCCTCATGAAGATCTCTGTTACTCCTTTGCTAATTACCAACAGTGATCCACTGACCCCAGTTCAGGCCTCAGTTTCCCATCTGTACAACAAGGGGACTGGACTGGATGATCACTCATTTGGCTTCCAGCTAGGACTCGTAATAATGGTGATGATGGTGATGATGATGGCGGTGCCATTTGCCAAAAACTCACCATGTGCCAGACTCCACGCAAAAATCATGAAACTGGACTGGCTCCCTTAATCTGCAAAATATCCCCACGGGGCAGGCACAGTTGTTATCCCCATTTCGTAGTTGAGGGCATGCAATCCTCGTGCAGTTGGAAAGGAGCTGAGCTGGGAGGAAGATAGGACAGCCACATGGATCTAGATCGGGACCCAGGTTCTGCTGTTTCTAGCCGTGTGACCCTGAGCAAGTCACTTGCCCTTTCTGTGCCTCTGTCTCCTCTGATGCCCATTCCTCGGGGCTGCTATGTGGCCTAAAGGAGGCAATGCACTATGCGTGGTGCACAAAGAACACACCGTAGTCATCAATCATTGTGATGATTATGGTTTTTCTTTTAGTCTCCCGTGTAGCTAGGTATGGCCATATGACTAACCTTTAAGCCAATGATTTGTAAGCACTGTCCTATGTGGAACTTCCAGAAAATCTTCCTTCTTCTTCCTGTCCTCCATCCTGCTCTCTGGAACGAATATACAAAAGCTGAAGATCAACAGCCACCCTAGGCCACAAAGATAGCAGGGATGGGCCACACTGTCTCTTGACTCCCTTACTAGAAGACAAGTTACACAAGAACAGAAATCTTGTTTATCTTGGTCAAAGCGACCTCCAGAACACTTACAAAGTGTGTGTCACGTGTTAAGGGCACAGGTATTGAATGACTATTGAATGAATAGGTGAATAAATGAATTTACTTCAGACTCACCAATAAATAAGGTTTCAGCTTCCTTCATAGAATTAAAGTATTGATTAATTTAAGTCACATTACTTCTATTTGCTTTCCTTTGCTCTCCCAAACTTGCACCTGTCATAGAAGGATAGTGTTTTGTTTTTTTAAATGTGCTCCAGAATTCCCCTCAAAAAAAAAAAAAAGTTTTAAAATCTATTTTCATGACAATGCTTCCCAGTATAGTCCTGCTTAGCAAGTTTAAAATTCTTCAGTTTTCTTGGTCATGGATACGTATTTTTGTGTACGTCTGTTGTTAAATGGAGGCACTGATTTGGAACAAAATAGACCTCACCTCAAGTCCATAAGAATCATCCAAAATGGTATCTAATGACATTCCTGGGACCTCAGCCAATATTATTATTGACATAGAATGCAGTCACTGGGTCCTGAGGATTTCATCGGATGTTGGTTGCTGAAACTGAACTTTATCGGGTCTTTTCCCCTTCCACTGTGGTTTTCCACATTTCAACATGTCACCTAACTGTCCTCAAACTTTACTTAAATCTTTTCAACTAAATGGAATCTTTATTACCCCTGCTCCTCTGCTTTTTGAAGCAACCGTTTTCCTCCTGTGATAACACTCCCTGTGGCCCCTTTTGTGGCCCCTTTTGTGGTCACAGGGTTTGTAAACATTCAGACTTTTTGCAACTACATATACTTTTATTCTTATTTTTCACTCTTCTCGCAGTTGTTGCTTTTTCTTTTAACTCTTTGAGGGAGTTAATTAGCCCCCTCTTCAACTTTTGTGATGCACCTATTCATATTTGAGCCTCTGGGTTTTTGCTCAAATTGCTTTTCAATTTACTCACTGTTGAAGAAAGCCATTATTTGGGGATTGTAAGGTGTATCAAGCTTTTCTTTTCTTTTTTTTTTTTTTTTTTTGAGACAGCGTCTGGCTCTGTCGCCCAGGCTGGAGTGCAGTGGCGCGATCTCGGCTCACTGCAAGCTCCGCCTCCTGGGTTCACGCCATTCTCCTGCCTCAGCCTCTCAAGTAGCTGGGACTACAGGAGCCCGCCACCGCTCCCGGCTAATTTTTTTGTATTTTTAGTAGAGACGGGGTTTCACTGTGTTAGCCAGGATGGTCTCGATCTCCTGACCTCATGATCCACCCGTCTCAGCCTCCCAAAGTGCTGGGATTACAGGTGTGAGCCACCACGCCCGGCCTATCAAGCTTTTCTAAAGTGTAGACTTCTCTATACATAATTGCCTCTTTCCTAGAGTAGTTATCTGACAAGTCTATTCAGAGAGCTGGTCATGAAAAGAGCTTTTTGTAAACCTCTCCTTTAGAAGAAATGTCTCTAGTCACACAGTGCTTTCTCCCTTCTTGATTTTGTATCAGTCCGAAGCTAATCTGTCCTCACTCTGGATTGCATGAACTTGTGCCTTCTTGGGCATCATGTGTTATTAATTCTCCCTCTCTTCCAATTGTAAACATGTTTCCTTTATTGGTTCTTACCATTTAGGATAAAAGTATACTCATCTTTATGGGGGGGGAATGAAAGCTTTCTTAACCATATATCTCCCTTCAACTGTTCCCACATCTCTCTTTTCAGCCATACTTTTAGGAGGAGAAGCCCTCAGTTGATGTCTTTACTTTCTCACCTCTAGTTCACTCTTTCCCCACTGCTGACGCTCAGCTTACTCACACACATCCTCAATCACTGAGTTGCCACAGGCAATGGCATCTGTGGCTTTTCTGCCTTCTTGGCAAAATATGGCTCTGTTGATTGGGGTATTAGGTATAAAGTACCTACTGACCAGGCCCTGTGCTAGGTGAGGCCATTACAGAAATGAGAAGCAGACACCACCTCCATTCCGATGAGACCCACCAGATCAGCCATTGCTGATGAACACTCAGGTGCCTTGACTCTCACTTTTCACTTTTGCAGTCTTTACTTCATGCCACGTACATTTCCCTATTCCCCAAGCCTCCTTTCTCTCCAAACCCCTCCCCTTATTAGACACAGCCTTTTAAAGCAGTCACGGTCATACCCATGGCTTCAATTGTATTGTATATGCTGTTATGACAATAGAATTTAAATGTTGTTCTTATATAACAGTTTTATTTTACGTGACACCTCATTCGCTACAACCATAAATTCAAAGTTTCCCTAAGAAAGTAATCACTAAAAAATTGTCATATTCTTAGTATGTAAATTTTAGGAAATTTCCTTAATGATTTGAGTTACTGTGTGTGTGTTACTTTTGAAAACATGAGTTGGGATGTCACAGAATGGACTTAGCCTACAGAGGTTTATATCCAATTTTCAACCAGACGGTTCCATTTCAATGTGACACTTAAAGAGTTCAAAACTGTCTCATTCCCCACACCTCTTTCTCGTCCTACATTCTCTGTCTAGGGGAGAATCACTGCTATTTACACAGTCCATCAAACTAGGGCCTTAGCAGCCTGTTTTTCCTTCCCCTCTTCTTCCACGTCTAATCACCAAGCACTTCCTCTTCTATCTCCCAGCTGATCACAAAACTTTTCCTTCCACTTCAGTCACTGCTGCTGCCTTTTTAGCCTTACTGTTCTCCAGATGAACATAGAGTATCTTAATCAGCCCCACTGCTTTCATAAAGCCCTCTCCACTGCGCAGAGTGACGTCACTGCAAACACATCGGATAGAGACTCTTCACCCCTGTGTGGTTCAGTGACTCTCGTTTCCAGAATAAAATTCAAACTCTACCCCAGCATCTAATTTTGGGTCAGATAGATCTGCGTTTTCATTCCAGGTTGATTCACTGTCCAGCAGTGTAGCCTCAGACAATTGAATCCTCTAAGCCTTTGTTTGCTCATCTGCCTGAACTCACGGAGGGTTGGGACTGTTTCACACATGCAGTATTGGCACTTAGACTTAATGTTGAATGAAGGGGAGGCATTTTAAAATCCACATCAAAAAACTGTTATTCTTTAAAAAAAATACTAATCTACAAGGTCACTGCCCCTCCAAGCATGACGTCTACCTTTACTTTCTGATAACCATGATCGGCTTGTGGGGATCAAGATTACTCAGGATTAAATCCTAGCCCCATCTTGAGCCGTCATGGAAACTTGGAGAAAGCTACTTAACTTCTCCATCTAGATTGATTCTGTAAAATCCATAAAATGGAATGGTTTCTGGGGGTTAAATTAGTATACCACAGCTGGAACACTGTCAGGCTTGCCAGATATTTACTATTCATCTTCATCAAATGAGGACAGTGGTTCTCAATTTTGTATAAGAAAAACACGCTTTATGCATTGTTAGTAAAAGAAATATCTGAATATCCCTGCCATGGAAGAAAGAAACAGAGGGAGAAAAGAGAGTTGGTAGGTCCTAGCATTTCAGAACTGGGAAGGATGAGTTCAGTCCCTATTTTATAGACAAGGAAGGGAAAGTGTGATGTGTCCTAGGGTTTCATTCAAGTCACAGTCATCACGCTTTATCGAGAGTGGGACCAGGGCTCTAGGAGTTGCTATGGTCAAGTTGAAGACAAAAACTAACACTTGTAAGACAGGAGAGAAGCATTTACTTACAAAGCAGTCCGAAATTTGTGTATAACTACATTTGGTGAGCAAACGAAAGCTGCCAGACTCAGAAAAACAGAGATGCTAATGGAACTGACTTTAGTAACCAGGGTTTTCCATTGAGTTCATTGCCCGGGGTGACTTCCAATAACAACCCCCGCCCCCCTGCACTTTTCTCAGGACTGGAAAGCTCAGGCAGCCCAGGACGAATAGTGCAGTCACCACAGAGGGACAGGGTGGCCACAAGGTGGGCAGCAGCAGGGAGGTGTGAGCCATTGGTTGGGTCTGTGGGGTCGGCCATTGTGAGCCACTAGCCTGACTTGGTTGTTTCCTGGTAACCAGGTGACATAGGAGGCTTTGTGGGTACTAGCCATTGGGCAGGGCCAGCAGCCTTCAGTAGCTGGTAGTGGAAGGAGGAGCTCTGACTACACTCTCACGACTGTTTTTTGCCTCTTGGTTCTTGTTATGTCCCTTTCTTTTTGAAATAAGACAGAAGGTCCCCACCTTCATAGACATAGAGAGATCCCATCTTATTTGTTTTTAAAAATAAATTGAAAAGTGAGGCGGAGCCTTGTGAGGATGATGGGAGAGGGCTTCCAGAGAGGAATTTCTTCTTTGGAATTCCTGAAATGGGAACAAACTTGTTTTGGGAAAAGGACAGAAAGACACAAAGGTGGCTGCAGCAGAGTGAAATGAATATGATGGGCTAAGGCCTCGTACACGTAGTGAGCATTGACAAAGAATATGGACTTTAGTTGAGATGGGAAACCACTGGAGGATTACAGCCTGGGGATTACTGTTAATTCTCCAAGAAGAAGACTGACCAGCGGCTGTGTGAGAATGTCCTGTAATGCAGGCAAGGGTGGAAGCAGGGAGACCAGCTAGGAGGCTGGTGGCGAAGTGCAGGTGAGAGTCAACAGTGAACAGACAGACGATCATGACCTGAAATAGGCTGACTTGAGAATCTCTAGAGTCAAGTGATCCTAAAAGTAGGTAATAAAGTGATAAATAGAGAAGTCACAGAAAAAGAAATGCAGACGATCCTTAAACACATCTTCACACATAAGAGAAAGGCAAATGACAACTATACTGCAGTGTCTCTCCTATTAAGTGAAATTCCAAAAACGTGGCAATACATTCTTTGGTTTGGCTGTAAGGAAAGTTGCATGCATATATTGCTGGTGGAAATGCAAAATGGCTCGACTCCACGAAGGGGAATTTGGCACAATCTCACAACCTTGCAAATGCATTTAAACCGGAAATCCTACTTTGAGGCATTTTATCCCGAGGGTATACTCCATAAATATGAAACAACCTATGCACAAAGTCCTTGTTGCATTATTTTCAATAGCTCAATATTGGAAATAACTGAAATGTCTAGTAAGGGACTAGTAAAATTAACTGGTACTTCCACCTAAAGGAGAACTATGGAGCTGTAAACAAGGGTAAGATGTCATTTTACTGCTATGGAGTGATTCCCAAGATAGGTTACACAGAAAAGCAAAAAGGGAGAACATGCGGTAACATACATGAAAGAAAGCAGGGGGAATAATGTGTGATTATTAAAACAAACAAAAAAACAACGCTGGGGAATTCTTGATGCTGACCTGTGACTGTTTTCTCCTTAACTTCAGTGGGTAGCCAAAGTGCGTGTTTTCTCAAAATGTTATTTTGCTATGGGTTTTCCAAAGGATGTTAACTGTTTACTTTTCACCCAGAAGCTTTGCTTTGTAATTGATTGTGCATTATGTAGTAAATAGACTGCTCTTGCATTTTATTTGATCCTCTCAATGTTTTAAGTTAGGTGTAATATGAGAATTTTCCTTGTGTCACATATGAGAAGGCTGGTTCTAATAAGTATAAAGTGAGTTTTTCAAGGTTTGAAAAAATAAGAGTCAGATCAAGAATGTAAATTCTAGACATGGCATATAAAACTAGAATTTATTACAAGGTGCATATGAGCTGCTTTGAATACTACCTCTTTTAAAAAAAATTTCCTTTAGTTTATTAAAGTAGTTAAGCCTCAGGATTAAAACAGTAACATTAGATAATGAGAAATAAAATGGAGATACTTGTAACTCAGTAATGCTTTTTATCTTTAAGAGACAGGGTCTTGCTTTGTCACCCAGGCTGGAGTGCAGTGGCCTGATCATAGCTCACTGCAGCCTCAAACTCCTTGGCTCAAACAATCCTCCCACATAAGTCTTCCACGTACCTAGGTAAACAAGAGCTCACTACCACACCTGGCTAATTTTTAAAACATTTTTTATAGAGAAGAGGTCTCACTATGTTGCCCAGGCTGGTCTCAAACTTCTGACCTCAAGCAATCCTCCTGCCTTAGCCTCCAAAAATGTCAGGATTACAGCCATGTGCCAGGACACCTAGCCCAGAAATGTTCCTAAAACTCTGAAAAATGAAGTTAAATGCTATTAACAAATCTATAAATGGATAAAAATATACTATGATATATCAAATGTCACAGCTCAGTCATGGTCACAACATTGATTAAAACGTTAAACAGTTTAGGCAAGTCTGAGAACTGAGAGGGAAGTACAGGATTGCTTTGGAAGCCAGAATTAGGATTGTCGGAGCAGGGAAAGCAGAAGCAAGGCGTGAGTGTGCACAGGACTGGGGGACGCAGCAGCTCCATGGTATGCTGTGTGTCCTCTTACATGGCAGGCCACCTCCAGGCCAGCAGATGAGAATCACCTGATGGGTGATTTAGGTAAAATCACCCAAAATAGAGTGGATTTAGGTAAAATCCCAGACTGTGCATCATAACTGAGAGACTTTAAATGTTTGTCTTATGGGGCATAAAGCTAATCAAAGTGAAGACGCAGGGATAATAGAGCAGGTGAGTAAATGCAGTAAGCCACCTGCCACCTCTCCAGGGCATCAACCATCCCAAAGAAATATTGGGGCAGCAGGATTTGACAAAGCTTTTGAGAAGAGCTCTCAGTTCAGGGTCCAGGGCATGATCTAGAGGACTCAGATGTTCCTGGATCTCTGTCCCCAGGGAACCAACTACATTCTTGCCCCACATCTTCATGCCTCACTGTGGTAACTCTGGGCAAGTCACTCAAAACGTCTAAGTTTTAATTCATTGAATTGGAAAATACGGGTTGTAGCCCCTGCTCTGCCCGTCCCTCGGGGCTAATGTGGGGATCAAAGAAATAACACATCTCGGCCGGGCGCGGTGGCTCACGCCTGTAATCCCAGCACTTTGGGAGGCCGAGGCGGGTGGATCACGAGGTCAGGAGATCGAGACCATCCTGGCTAACAAGGTGAAACCCCGTCTCTACTAAAAATACAAAAAATTAGCCGGGCGCGGTGGCAGGCGCCTGTAGTCCCAGCTACTCGGGAGGCTGAGGCAGGAGAATGGCGTGAACCCGGGAAGCAGAGCTTGCAGTGAGCCGAGATTGCACCACTGCAGTCCGCAGTCCGGCCTGGGGGACAGAGCGAGACTCCTTCTCAAAAAAAAAAAAAAAAAAAAAAAAAAAAAAATAAAAAAAAAGAAATAACACATCTCTTTCATGAGCTGGAAAGCATCATGCCCATGGAAACAGTGAAGTCACCTTCCACCCTCCCCTGCCCGGGAGCCATACACGCTCCCTCTCTGTATTCTATACACTACCAAGTATCTGGATTATTCTTCCAGACATTGAATGATTGAACACTGTTGGGCATTTACAACTCATGAGTCTTCTTAAGCCTTTATCTGTATCTCATCCTTTTTAGCCCTATAGATCTTAGTAGGTCTATAGCAGAGATCTACTAACATTCCCACATCTCAGAATAGGGAACTGAGGCACAGAGGGGTTCATTTCACTCTCCCAGGTATGTGCAGATTCTAAGTAGCATTTGAACCCAGGCCATTCTTGGTGACTTGGATCTGCTGCTTTTCTATATTGTCTCATCTAAATAAAGGTATCTGCCTGCACAGTCTGTTTTAAGTGCAACAAACCTTGCAAAATCTTCCTAGAACCCAAATCTAATTCAGGTAGAGTTGAAAAGCAGACGGTGCAAACCGGGATCAAAACTTTCATCTGTGAATAAGTTTTTACTAATTTCTCTGCTATCCTCTGCCAGCAACATGTCAAGCACTGTCTTTATTATAATACATTTCCTGGAATCTATAAGAAGTCTGCTCTACCTTGCAGGTTTGGACGCCCGCTCCAAGCGCTGGTTAAAAATAATATGGAGACGGCACGGGATTTGGCCTCTAGAAAATATAGGTAATGTGGAAATTAAATCATTAAGTTCATTTAAGCAAATAATTCCAGTTTATTCATTCAGTGCTCCATATTAGAGAAACTCAGTAAATGCTATGTCATGTTCTTCATTTATTTCATTTGTGCCAATTTAAATGCATTAAATCAATGGTAGATGATACAACTACACAAGTAAAGTAATATTGACAAGTTAGAGTTGTTCTTTTGTGTGTGTGTGTGTGTGTGTGTGTGTGTGTGTGTGTGAGAAAAGGTCTCATTTGTCACCCAGGAGTGCATTGGTGCAATCACAACTCACTGCGATCTTGACCTCCCCAGGTTCAGGGGATCCTTCCACCTCAGCCTCCCAAGTAGCTGGCCATAAGGCACGTGCCACTATACCAAGCTAATTTTTTTTTTTTCGTAGAGATGGGATTTCACCATGTTGCCCAGGCTTAGTTCAACTTTGATAGTAAAGGACATCTCAAATATTTAGACATTTGCTTTCAGTTTAGTCAATTATGAATACAGCTATTATAAACCTTCCTGTGTCTTGTTTGGAAACACAATTTTTAAAATGTAACTGAGGAAATACTTAGGATTATGATTACTTGCTTGTATGGTAAGACTACATTTTTCTTTGTAAGAATTTCAGTAGAATTTACCAGTGAAATCATCTGAATATACTGTTTTAGTTTTTTGAAAAGATATTAATCATTGATTTAATTTCTAAAATAAATATAGGCCTATTCAGATGATCTATTTCTCCTGAGTTTTGGTCTTCTAAAATAGATTTTAACAGTTAGCCCATTTCATCTACTGTATCCAATTGTGAGCACAGATGTGTTCAGGATATTCCTTTATTATTTACTATTTTTTGATTTGACTCTTCTTAAACAGATATTATTAGTATACTGTGACTTCTTTCTTTCCTTTGTGGGTAGCCAAGGTAGAGGTTTATCAATGTTACTGATCTTTTCAAACAACTGACTTTTGGTTTTGTTGATTTTCTCTGAGGATTTTCTGTTTCCTATTCCATTGTATTCTGCAATCGTTATTTATTTTTCCTCTGTTCTATATCACACTGCTGTTTTTCTCTCATTGCCCAAGTTGAAGCTAAGATTATGAATTTAGACATTTCTCATTATTGACACAGCATCCTGAATGTAACTCATTGAATGTAATCTCATTAAAATGCACACTTAATAATTAAAATGATAAATATGCATGCTTCACTACAATTTGAAAAACACAACAGGGTAGATGATCAATGTAGTGGCAGGATATGTAGATCCACAGAAGTTAAATGATCTTGTAACATTTCATAAAATTGGGGATTTGCCTGGACCTTCAAATGGGGAGGAGGTGTGATGAGATGCTGTCGCTGAACCATACAGTGCCTTTCTGTATTAAACTGTTCTTAAGGTGACATTGATGAGGTTGCCCTAGCTGGAAAGCCAAGGCTCTTTCATTTCTTTCTGCCCCTCTTCTTTGCCTTCCTTCAACACCAAGGAGAATGGTCCAGCAGCAGCTCAGTCCATGCCTGTCAACCGCCCACCTCCACACTCCAGACCCAGTCCATATCCCCCAAGGCTCCTTGTGGGATTCCTCAGCAGCACCAATGCACTGACTGTCACTCTATGTTCTCCTAGGTCCCATTGAAGATGTGCAGGCGTCTGCACACGGCGGTGTGGAGGAGAATATGACATCAGATATTGTAAGATGTATTTCTTTCTCTGGAAGAGAAATGCTTTTTGTTTTTTCTGGGGCTTCTAGAATATCAAGTGAGTATCATTTTTGACTGCCATCATGATTCAGGCCTCAGTGTCATGGACTCTAGCGACCGGTCACTGGAGGTTATGACCAGCTGAGGCCTGATTGAAAATGGCAGTCAAAGGACGGCATCACTTACAAACTGTTTGGTAGTGAGTGTATTTCTCAGTAGCAACCTTTTCTCCTTGAAAAATAATTTTGTATTTGCCAGCCAACATAGACTTGCTAAATATTCCAAAAAACCCACTGCATGTTCCACAAGCATCCTCTATGCTTTATTTGGGGGCCAGTGACTTGATCACTGTTTCACATCCGGTTTTTTATTTCACCAAGTGAATAAAGGCCTTTGCCAACAGAACCCAGCATGATCTGATCCTCATGGTGTTTTTTTTTTCTCTTATTGCAGAGAAAGTCGAAAGCCCAGCGTCAAGTCTGTACATATACTTTTTTTTTTAAACAGCTTTATTTAGACATAGTTGACATGCAAAACAACTCACCCATTTAAAGTACGTGATTCAGCGTTTTTACTATATTTACACGGTTGTGCAACCATTGTTACAATCTCATCTTAGAACCTCTTTATTCCCCCCTCAAAGAAACCCCACTAGTAGTCACTCCTGTTTTTCCCATCTCCCATGCCCCTGGATCTAGGCAGCCACAAATGTACTTCCTGTTTCTATAGTACAGTGCTTTTCTGTATTAACCGGTTCTTAAGGTGACTATTTCGCATTGATGAAGTTGCTCTAGCTAGAAAGCCAAGGCTCTTTCATTTCCTTCTGCCCTTCTCCTTTGCCATCCTTCAACACCAAGGAGAATGGTCCAGCAACAGCTCGGTCCAAGCTTGTCAACCGCCCACCTCCACACACTCCAGCCCCGGTCCACATCCCCCAAGGCTCCTTGTGGGATTCCTCAGCAGCACCAATGCACTGACTGTCACTATGTTCTCCTAGATTTGGTCGAAGATCTCAGTGAATACCCATCTGTCCATCTTGAAGACCTCATGACACCGGAGATGGTAAGATGCATTTCTCTGTCTGGAACAGAAATGTTTTTTCTGGGCCCTCTTGCCTTATTAATGAAATGAAGATATAAAAATCTGACCATGTATATTATAGAAGACAAATACAATTTTTTTGTTGGCTGGAACATCAAGGGAATATCATATTTGATTGCCGTCATCCACCAGGTCTTGGTTGATCATGGACTCTAGCGACTGTCACTGGAGTTTATGACCAACTGAGGCCAGTTGGATGATGGTAGTCAAAAATGAGCGCATCACTTACAAATTATCTGGTAGTGAGCATATTTCTCAGTAGCAACTTTTTCTTCTTGAAAAATAATTTTGTATTTGCCAGCCAACAAAGACTTGCTAAATATTCCATGAAAACCCATTGCCTTTTCCACAAGCATCGTCTATGCTTCATTCGGGGGGCCAGTGACTTGATCACTGTTTGACATGTTGTTTTCTACTGTCACCAAGTGAATAATAGACCTGTGCCAACAGGGCCCAGCATGATCTAATCCTCATGGCGTTTTCCTTTCTCCTATTGTAGGCAAAGGAGAGACGCGAAGATTACCTCTGTAAGTATATCTATATATATATATAGATATATATATAGTAGATATATATTTGTAGATATATATATCTATATATATAGATCTATATATATGTAGATATATATCTATATATAGATATATATATGTAGATATATAGATCTATATATAGATATATATGTAGATATATATATCTATATATATAGATATATATATTGTAGATATATATCTATATATATAGATATATATATTGTAGATATATATATCTATATATAGATATATATATCTATATATAGATATATATATTGTAGATATATATCTATATATAGAGAGATATATATTGTAGATATATATATCTACTATATATAGAGATATATATTGTAGATATATATATTGTAGATATATCTATCTATATATAGATATATATAGATATATCTATCTATATATAGATAGATATATTGTAGATATATCTATCTATATATATATTTTTTTGAGACAAAGTCTTGTTCTTTTCCCCTAGGCTGGGTTAACATGGCACAATCTCGGCTCAATGAACCCATCAGCTCCCAGGTTTGAGGACTTCTCCGGCTTCCGCATCCCGAGTAGCTGGGATTACGGACGCCTGCCACCACACCCAGCTCAAATCATTTTATGAATGCATATTTCCATCTGGGTGAAAAAAAAATCACAAGCCTCTCTCTCTTCCTACTGAGCACCTGTGAACAGTGACCTGCAGTTTGTGGCTGCAGCCAGTCCTCATGGAGCCTGCTGTTCTTACATTTCATTCTGAGGCTCACATTCTCAGTCACCATGCAGAAGAACACCCGCCCCATCCTGGGTCATTACAGAGTGGGCCAATCCATCTGCTGCATCTGAGGAGCTGGGTCCAGCTTCTACGGTGAATCCATATATTTCTGTATTTCCTGGATAAGGAAGAGGAAAGGAGCTGAGCTGGTGGAGGAAGAAGATCTAATATTAACTGACTCCTTATTTTGTACCAGGTACTGTGTTAGTTACATATTTTATCTCATGTAATTCTTACCAAATAGTAAGGGGGTTGGGAGTGATGGAGACAATATTGATATTATCTCCATTTTAGGGTGAGAAAATGAAGGCTCAGAAAGGTTATATAACTTGCCCAAGGTCACTCAGCTGCTGAGAGCCAGGATATGAAACAGAAGTTTTACATTAGAAGCGTTCAAATTTATTTTCAATTTCCCTGCTCCATTCTGAATAGGTATTGGCATTTACCCTTGGGCTATGTAGAACAAGTGCTTTGTCACCAAAACACCTATTGTGAACTCTTTCTGCCCTAGTAGGATTCATGCATTTTATCTTCTTCAAAGTAAAAACCTTTAAGAGCCAGGAATCTGCCACACTGACTCTCAACTTAAATCTCAGCCACTTTTACCTTAAAATTCAGACTTGTGTAGATATCTCTAGAAGACTTGGTGGACTAATCTTTAAGAGTTAATTTGCATGAGGGAGGAAGAGGAGCCCACATTTGCACCAAAGACATGCCTAGAAGTCGGAGCAGGAGGGTCAGCAGGAAGTCTGTTTCTTAGAGTTCCTCCAGCCCAGTCTGAGTGGTAGAAATCAGGAACTGAAAATAAATCTGAAAGTTGTTTGAAATGATGGTAAGACATGGGTAACATAATATATTGGGGGTTTGTGTTATAAATGAGGCTATTTTCTTATGTTTAGTATTTTGTAATTTTAGTAGAGATGGGGTTTCACCATGTTGGCCAGGCTGGTCTGGAACTCCTGATCTCAAGTGATCCCCCCACCTCAGTTGGAGTGAGCAGGACCTGGCCTTCCTGTCTGCCGAGAGTATGGTGTGAACATCATCCTAAGTGCCTCGAGAAAGCAGCTTCCTTATTGTACCATGTCTTCCCCATCTCTTTGTGTGATGATGGCAATGACACCAGCAGAAATTGGTGAGAGGGGCAGAACAGGAATCAGGTCCCCACTTTTCTGACACAGAGCAGACAGGACACGAGTCAGTAGGGATGGACTTCAGGGTCAGGCCAGACACAGAGAGGTCCCAGACCTGATCTTCCTGGGTCTGGGACAGATAAGTTTTCATTTTTCACCTCTTCTGGAAGTCACCTGGGGAATGGTCCTTCAGTAGACACTGTTGGCCAATGGTTGTCTGGCCCAGAAATATGTTTCAACTAGACGTAGCCCCCCAGTTCTTGGCCAGGGCAGTGGCAGCGCTCCCGAGTAGCAGGGGAGGTGGGGAGGGACACGAGTTCCAGGGCAGGGTGAGCTCAGCAAAGGGGTGGGGACTGACCCTAGGGTCCAGGTCATCGAATCCACAACACCTCAGTTTCCACTTACTTTGGAGATGGTTTAACATCTTCAGTATCAAACTTGGGGTCTTCCCACAGATGGATAGAGGAACCCTGGCCATGGGTGTTTGCTGCCAGGGCAGTGACTGTCTCTTCCTCATTTGTTCTTATCCCAGAGCTCAGTCCTGGGGAAGACACATTAGGCCCCATGAATGTTTTAATGAACACACTCCAGAGATGAGTTCTAGATCACCCCTGGGCTGGTATCTAGTGCAGGTGTGGAAAGGTTTTCTTCACAGCCTGTCCAGCCTATTGAGCCCCACACTCATCCTGGAGCCTGCCCAGCTTATGATTCAGGGTCCCTGGAGATGAGGGTGAGCTCCTGAGGACAGCGAGTTGCCCCTACCTCTCTGCTCCTGCCGCTGTGATCTTGTCTAGACAGGGTGTGCAGGGCCATGCTCTTCCACTGGGTGCAAGAGCGCCCCCTGCTGGAATCCCTCTGGACCTGGATATTGTCCTCATGGTCATATCCCCAGCCCCACACAGTGACTGGCCCTTATGCAGATGCCCAGGAAGTAACCTTAAATGTATGGTAGGATCAGAGCAGCAAACGATTCTGCAGAAAAAAACACCAGGATAGGGGAGTCTTGTCTTCCTCATTTCTGGATCTCTGGAGCTGTCCCATCTAGTGTGGTTCTCAGTCATATATGTGCCTCTTCATGGTTAAATAAATTTAAATATATACAATTAAAAATTCAGAACCTCATCAACAGAGACCATGCAATGGCCCAGCAGCCACATGTTTATACAGCTCGAGTTTTCCTTCTTTCCACCCTTTGATGAGAACATGATCTTCAGGCTGGTGCTGGTTTACCAGAAATTCTCGGGGTGGTACATGTGCTAAAAGACTTTTAGTTTTGAGGGAAAGGAAAGTGGGAGATAAATCAAGTATATAATTTTTAAGAAATGGACCTTTTATTTTAAATGTAGGGACATCAGCAGTGGACTTTATAGTCCTTGGTGCCTTCTTACTGAGAAATTTCCTTTAGCACCTATTTTTATTAGTTTTTAGACCAAAGAAAGCCAAACACCATTTTATATTTGACAATGCTTCCTGTATGTTTATACCAGATAAGCTAGATTTCACCTTTATATTAGTGTTATTAATGTTAAACAGTTTTAATAAAACTTTGTAGACATATTTATTCAACTTTTAATGTCTGACCATAAGATTTTTATAGGCTTTTTTAACCTTTTATAATTTTTGTCAAACAGCAGGTTAGCGCTTTAAGAAAAACCCGTTGTGTTTTTATTTTAATGTCCAGTTCACAGAAAAACTGGATGATACCCCTTTAACTTTAGCCAATGTTTACACACAGAATTTTCTTTACAATTAACATTTCAAAACTTGCTTAAACCTTCAAAACTATTTTTGTAACCTTTTAATGTAGGTAAAAATTCATATTCTTATGCTTCCTTATAATCCTTTTACCAAAGGCATATTTTACTTACCTTATACACCTTGCACATAAACTGTTTCTTCAATAGTTTTACATTCAGGAGGACTAATTAATTTAAATTATACAACATTTCTTGCATAAATTTCTTTTTCTAACACTTTTTTTCATGACTTTCACAGACAATTCTTCGACATGCCTCAACTTTCTGACTTATTGGAAACATCCCTTTCTTTAAACAACTAGTTAGTTTATTTCAGGACAAGAATTTTCCATATAACATTCCTTTTGCACCCCCAATTTTTTCTTTTTTCGAAGATGATAACCATTCTTTTCCAAAGCAAACTTCCTTCATGTCTGTGGACTAGATTTTCTAAGGCCACAGATTAGAAATTACCATAATACATGTTACACTGTTAACTTTTAGCAAAACAACTTTACTTTTGTTGAAAACCTTGTAAGTGTGGGATTTCAATTATCCTTTGCTATAAATAAGACATTGCTTAGTCCAAATTAACTTAGAATTGGTATAGATGGCTTTTTTTTTCCTGGTTCTGTAAGTACTTCAAGGCTTGGCTGAGTGGCAAAGTTGAGCAGACCAATTATTAGGCAATTTTCCTAACTCTGCTTCTACAAGAGTTTTCCTCAATTACAGAATACTGATTGTGTTTTTTTTTCCTTAATCACCTGGGAGGAACTATCTATCATCCTGTCCTGAAGGTAGTTCCTCCTAGGTCTGGTCAGACCTTTGTATGGTAATTAAGATTTAAATCCCCTGTTAGGAAATCTGCTGGGTTAAGGGAATTTTCAGGGGTTTATGTTAAATCATCTTTTTCTAACGGAGTAGCCCCATACTTTAAGATTTTTGAGTTATGAAGCTACCTTTTTGCTTTTTTTTTTTTTTTAATTAGGATACTTCTGAACTGGTGAGGTGTGCTCACAATGAGGTTTCCTCTAAAAGTTATCTTTCTACTTTCTTCTGTCAGCAAAGCAGTTGCCGCTACAGACTGAATGCATTTGGGCCATCCGTGGGTTAGTGGGTTCACGGAATTCACATCAAATCAGAATCAAAACCAAAACCAAAGTGCAGATAAAGGCACGCCCGTTCGTCAAGCAGTTTAAACCAAGTGAAAATCAAAACCAAAACCAAAACCAAAGTGCTGATAAAGGCACGCTGTGGGTGATCAGGCCATGCTTCCACTCAAATGGAGTGGACAAGTTCCCAAGACCGGTCCTGTCAAGCAGCTCAAACCAAGTCAAAATCAAAACCAAAACCAAAGTGCTGATAAAGGCACGCCCGTTTGCCTAGGAATTCAAACCAAGTCAAAATCAAAACCAAAACCAAAGTGCCGATAAAGGCATGCCGTGGGTGATCAGGCCACGCTTCCACTCAAATGGAGTGGGCAAGTTCCCAAGACCAGTCCTACCGTATTCCAGATATCTGGACTCCAAGCGCCAGTTCCTTCCCGGTGTTCAGCCACTGCACTGATCCTCTGCGGGGGCCTGCCATGCACTGCTCTGACGAGGCATTGCACCGGGGCAAATGCCTACCCAGGAGCATGCTCAGGAACCGCGTAGCTCAAGCTGGCCGGAGTCCCCTGCAGGGATGCTCCACAGGGCAAGCCTAAGCTGCCTAAGAGGCTGCCTCGCTTCCCGGTCAGGGAACCAAGAAATGTAGCAGGATGAGCCACAGACAAAACTCCTCAGACACCGGGTTAAACAAGGAAGAGGCTTTATTCGGCCGGGAAATCGGCAGACTTGCGTCTCAAGAACAGAACTAAGCTCCCCGAAGAAAGAGTTCCTGGCCCTTTTAAGGGCTTACAACTCTAAGGGGTCCAGGTGACAGGGTCGTGATAGACTGAGCAAGCATGGGGTACGTGACTAGGTGGGGGTAAGCAAGGCAAGTATTTCTCCACACCATTGTCTGTGATCTATAGATAGCACAAGCGATTAGGGTGGGGGTTAATCTTCAGCCTACAGGCTAAAGCAACACCAGAGAGGATGGAAGTGAGACCCCTGGAGTTGTGGTTGTGGTCAGATTGGACCTTCCCGTGGCTGCTGAGACCCTGGGGCATTGGAGACACCTGAGGATGCCTCCCTGCTCTTACTTTGTGGTCACCAAGAGATTGGGGTTACCACAACCCTATAATGTAGAGAATCCCTGTCCCCTTCCATGCCACTTCATTCTTTAGGGAAGCAAACGCCCTCCCAGGAGCTCATTCCCATTCCTGGGCCACAGTCAAAGGGAAAACCTGATCCAGACATGAATTTCCTTGGGCCTCTGCATTTCCAGACATCCTGTCATTGCATGCATGGGGCTGACTGTCTCATCTCAGCTTCAGAAGGGCAGGCAGAGTTGTGGACACCCTGCTGAGCAAATGCCCACCGGAGTCAGGGGTTCAGCTTTCCTGCATCACTGCTGCAGGTGGGGGCTGGGGAGGGGGGCATAGGGGGTCCTAGGGAGTAGTTTTTGTATGAGCCTGTGTCACAGCACTTGATGTTTAGCAGAGAGACCCAGCTGACCGTCCTAAAGAAAGATGCAACTGAAACTCACTTCCCAGGGCCTTTATAACTGAATGAGACAACATACTTAGGTATCTGGTCCTTGATATCTGGGAGATGCTGAGTAAATGAAAATGATCCTTTCTCCCTCTCTGATACTTAATGTGGCCCCTTACTTTGGGCTGCTGGTTCTGGAGGGTCGCAGGGAAGCAGGATGGCTCACGCTGCTTTCTCCACAAGCTCTGGCACCCAGTAAGAACCAGCACAGCATGCATGGAGCACACACCATACACCAAGCTTGGTGCTAAGAGCTTTACATGCTTGATCTCATTTAACTGCCCTTAGAAGTCAGGGGATGATCCCCATTTCAGAGAATACTGAGGTTCATAAATGTCAAATAACCTGCCTGGAGGAGCCAGGTCTGAGAACAAGGTCCATGCTCATGACCACTGGGTGGAACCCTTCTCAACATGGTACCCGTGGTCCCAGAGTCACAGGCCTTCTCAAGATGTGAAATTTGGTTAGAGATCAATTTTCTATCTCTGGAATCATCATATCCCCTCTCAATTCTTATGTATTTACAGTCAAGGACGTGTCAACATAGAGACTTAGGAGGACAAAGTGAACTTCCTGATCCCCAACAGGCAGATCCCCAAAAGCCAAAATGTATGTGTCACCTTGGAAGATGACGCACCAGGAAGAATGGGGAGGAGGGAGGAGGAAAAACTGCTGATGAGGCCGACTCGCTCTTTGGGGCTTATCATATCAGCAAAGCCAGCTCTTTTGAGATGGAAGAACAAAGATGTTTCTCCTCTGTGAGGAGGTGACAGTGGTGTTCTGGGTGAAGGAGAGCAGCTTTGTCCTGGAAGGAATCTGACTTGGAAGGAGGCCCAGTTGTCCAGCAGGTACCTGTTCCCTTTCTGCTCTGGCTTCCAAAGGGCTCTCTGCAGAGCCCCTTCCCGGAGCTGCTGGCAGGAGGTCCTTTGCTTGGGGGGTGATCCATGGGGACGTCTGGAGCAGTGGGAGCCTATCTTGGGACCTGGATGGGAGCTGCTCCACCTCAGCACCCAGGTTATGAGGCACAGGGCTGGGCACCACGAGGGCATGGGTGAAAGTGGCCTGGATTTGGATTTCAGAAGAACTGGGCTTGAGTCCTAGTTCTGCCATAAACCATGTGACTCTTAGGCAGTCACTTTATGTTTTTATTTCTTTGGCAGTAAAACTGTCATTACCTACAATATGGGAATTGTAAGGAACTACTGAGAAAACAAATCTCAAAATGTTCTGTGCAGACTCTCAAATACTGTGCAAATATCAAGCTGTTTTAAAATCCAGTCTCTGCCTTTGAGATTTTACAATCTGGTGAGCAGGTAAACACAAGTACACATAACAAGAGAACAGTCTCCATTTAGTGCTGGGTGATGGGAACAGAGGCAAATGCTTTGAGTTTGGGGTAGTGAGCTGGGGTGATGAGGGAAGGCAGGAATGCGGGGAAGGCAGACCTTGAATGGTTTTTTTTTTTTTTTTTTTGAGAGGGAGTCTCGCTCTGTCATCCAGGCTGGAGTGCAGGCTCAGCTCACTGCAGCCTCTGCCTCCTGGGTTCCAGCAATTCTCTGTCTCAGCCTCCTGAGCAGCTGAAATTACATGTGCCCGCCACCATACCCAGCTAATTTTTGTATTTTTAGTAGAGATGGGGTTTCACCATCTTGGCCAGGTGGTCTTGAACTCCTGACCTTGTGATCCACCCTCCTCGGCCTCCCAAAGTGCTAGGATTACAGGTGTGAGCCACCGCACCCAGCCTCGAATGGGTTTTCAAAGATGGGAAGACAAGCTGGGTCACTGGGCGCTCCCACAGGGGAAGCATGAGCCAAGGTGCGGCAGCCGCTCTACACACGACCTGCTTTAGCTATCGGGTGCGATAGAGGCTGCACACCGGTGACAAATTAGAGAAATCCAATCTGCACATGTATTTTACTTGCACCACACAGTGTTTGTTTAATATCATCTGGCCACTTAAGACAGGGAGATTTAAAATGAAAAATCCAGATTTCCCATTCTTCTTCGTCTTCTTTTTTTTTTTTTTTTTTTTTGAGACTGAGTCTCGCTCTGTCACCTGGGCTGGACTGCAGTGGCACAATCTCAGCTGAATGCACCCTCTGTCTCCCAGGTTCAAGCAATTCTCCTGCCTCAGCCTCCCGAGTAGCTGAGATTACAGGCATGTGCCACCATGCCCGGCTAATTTTTGTATTTTTAGTAGAGACAGGATATCACCACATTGGCCAGGCTGGTGTCGAACTCCTGACCTCGAGATCCGCCCACCTGGGCCTCCCCAAGTGCTAGGATTACAGGTGTGAGCCACTGCGCCTGGCCCAGATTTCCCATTCTTTTTAAAAACCAGAAGACCTGGCCACACTGGGTCCTCTTCCCCAGCCAGTACTGATCCTCTGGAGTTTCTGAGAGGGTTCATGCCACACCCACTCCATCACCTGCTGCCTTTCCCACCTACTCCAGTTAACTCACTCCATCACCACCTGACCTGTCAGTGTCTGGGCTCGTGATTCCTGTGTAAACAAAACCTTCTATTGGGAAGAAAGTTTTATGAAGGGAGCTGTATGAGGGGAGACATGGGTCCCTAGACACCCTAAAGGAGAGACTGAAGTGGACCCAAGCTATAAACCCTCCCCTGTCAGCCAGCTTCCAGCTGCCACCAGGCCTACTCCTACACACCTGACATCTTTGCCCACGGTCATCGATGCAATCACTTTCTTCACTGCCTCCTTCTTCTTCTCCTTCTTGTCACTGTTGAGCTCTGCCTTCAGCTCGAAGATCTCCCCTAAGGAAAGGAGGCAAGCATGAGTGATCCCTCCCTACCCTGGCAGGGGACAATTCCCAGTATCTAACTTCCAAAAGAACCGGAGGGAGGCACGTAAGACATCCTATGCTGTTGGCTGAGGGAAGCTTCAGGCGCCTGGCCTCAGGTGGGCCAGGCAACAGTGAGGGATGACTGTTAGGACAGGAATTAACAAGATGGAAACTTGTAGGCCGGGTGCAGTCGCTCACACCTGTAATCCCAGCACTTTAAGAGGCTGAGGATCAGCTGGGCACGGTGGCTCATGTCTGTAATCCCAGCGCTTTGGGAGGTCGAGGGAGGCAGATCACGAGGCCAGGAGATCAAGACCATCCTGGCCAACGTAGTGAAACCTCGTTTCTAATAAAATACAAAAAATCAGCGCGATTTTTTGGTGCAAGCCTGTAATCCCAGCTACTCGGGAGGCTGAGGCTGGAGGATTGTTTGAGGCCAGAGGTCGAGGCTGCCATGAGCCATGACACCACTACACTCCAGCCTGGGTGACACAAAGTGAGATCCTCTCTCCAAAAAAAAAAAAAAAGAAAAGAAAAAAAAAGAAACTTAGAGGCCACTCTGGATTGAAGCAACAGGAACCATGGAAGCTACAAAGGTTCTGAGGAAGACAAAAGCATCAAAAACATGATGGCAGGCTCTGCTCAGCCAGGGAGCTAAAAACCCAGTGGAAGGCAAAGCTGTCCTCAGCTACCCTCACTCAACAAAAGACCCTTAAAAGGCTCAGTGCAATAGAACCTGAGTACTTAAGGCTTGCGGGGTGAGAGCAGGATTTGTGGATTCCCACATGGAGGCCTTTCCTGTTTTCCTCAAACCTCTAAGACAGCTTGCTCAGGATTTCACTTCCTGAGACACAAGTGGTTGCTCAGCTCTGAAAATGGGAATTCAGCTGCTCCATGAGAGCTCAAGCATGAAATCAATTGTTCTGAAGAACTTCATGATGTGAGAAAAACAAATGAGGAAGTAGGGTTGTCTGGTCCTGCCATGGACAGATAGTCAGGACCCTGATAACAGGTTAGGAGGGCAGATGTCATTTCCTGACCCCTTCTCTCTCTTTTTTTGAGATGGAGTCTCGCTCTGTCACCCAGGCTGGAGTGCAGTGGCCCCATCTCAGCTCACTGCAACTTCTGCCTCCCGGGTTCCAGCAATTCTCCTGCCTCAGCATACCGGGTAGCAGGGACTACAGGCACGTGCCGTCATGCCTGGCTAATTTTTGTATTTTTAGTAGAGATGGGGTTTCACCATGTTGGCCAGGCTGGTCTTGAAATCCTGACTTCGTGGTCTGCCCTCCTCAGCCTCCCAAAGCCTTGGGATTACAGGCATGAGCCACTGCAGATGGTTTTTTGCTTTTTTTTTTTTTTTTTTTTTTTTGAGACGAAGTCTCACTCTGTCTCCCGGGCTGGAGTGCAACGGTGCGATCTCGGCTCACCACAACTTCCACATCCCGGGTTCAAGCAATTCTCCTGCCTCAACCTCCCAGATAGCTGGAACTACAGGCGGGCACCATCATACCCTCCTAATTTTTGTATTTTTAGTAGAGACGGGGTTTCACCACGTTGGCCTGGGTGGTCTTAAACTCCTGACCTCAGGTGATCCACCTGCCTTGGCCTCCCAAAGTGCTGGGATTACAGGCGTGATCCACCGTGCCCAGCCCCCCTGAGCCCTTCTCTAAGCCCAGTCCCATACTAACTTGTTCCCACACATTTTCTTATTTCATCCTCACAACTCTGCATTTCCCTCCATTTCGCAGTGAGCAAATGGAGGCTGTGAGAGGCTCAGTAACGTAAACCCAATGCCAGCAGGTGGTAGGACTGAAACTCAAAACCAGGTCTGCTAGCTCCAAAGCCCATGCTCTCAATCCCTATGCTTGGGCCTACCCAAGATACTCACTTTGCTTTCCTAAACCTGTTTCCTTGTCTCTTTGGCTGGAGCATTGAACCCAGGCATGTCTGTCCACACATCTCTCTTCCCAAAAGAAATCCACTAAAAAACCCCAACCCCAAAATAAAAAAATTAGCTCGGCATAGTGGCACGTGCCTGTAGTCCCAGCTACTTGGGAGAATTGCTTGAACCCAGGAGGCTGCAGTGAGCAGAGATCTTCCCATTGCACTCCAGCCTGGGTGACAGAGACTCTGTCTCAAAAAAAACAAACAAACAACAAAACCCACCCCTGGGACTCCAATACACTCAGCACTACGTTCACCCTGTGGCTCACTAAGCCCCACAAGACTGATCCCTGTGTACCTCTCCAATTGCTTTCTCTCTTTTTTCAATTAGTTGCCCAGGCTAGACTCGAACTCCTGGGCTCAAGCAAGTAATCCTCCCACCCAAGCCACCACCTGGGGCGCCACTGTGCCTGGCTCTAACCTCTTCTTGTATCACCCTCCTCGGTAGCTCATGCCCACTACCTTCCTTTCCCCAAATGTGTCACAGGCACAGCACTCACTCCTTCCCCTTCCTATCCCCCATCGATCTGGCCAGCTCCACCCAGAGCTCTCCCACAGTCCCCCCTGGACCCAGTACACTTCAGTGTGGTTACTACTCTACAGACTGTCTTCCCTGCTCAACCTTGAGCAACACCAGGTCAGAGGCTCTGTTTCTCTTCCACTGCACATGGTAGGTTCTCAGTAAAAACCAGCTAGACCAATACATGAAATGCCTGATAAGGGGCAGACTTCGGGTCCTGGATCAGCTGATCCAACAACAGACTCTTTTCATCTGGTCGGCAGGCATGTGTCAGTATCACTTGGAAGGAAGGAGGGAGGAAGGAAGGGCTGGCCAGAAAGATGCTTACAGGGTCAAAGCACATTTGTCAGCTACGACAACATCCTCCATTTCCTTAAAAGCAGAAACAACCAAAATATCCAACGATATAAGCCTAGCTTAGCAAATTTCAGTGTAGCTACTCAATAGACTCAATCCAAGGTGGGTGGATCACTTGAGGTCAGGAGTTTGAGACCAGCCTGGCCAACATGGTGAAACCCCATCTCTACTAAAAATACAAAAAACTGCCAGGTGCAGTGGCTCACACCTGTAATCCTAGCACTTTGGGAGGCTGAGGCTGGTGGATCACCTGAGGTTGGGAGTTTGAGACCAGCCTGACAAGTATGGAGAAACGCCATCTCTACCAAAAATACAAAATTAGCCAGGCATGGTGGTGCATGCCTGTAATCCCATGACTTGGGAGGCTGAGGCAGAAGAATCGCTCGAACCCAGGAGGCAGAGGTTGCAGTGAGCCAATATTGGTGCCATTGTACTCGTGCCTGGGCAACAAGAGCAAAACTCAGTCTCAAATAAATAAATAAATTAGCTGGGCATAGTGGCGGGCACATGTAATCCCAGCTATTCCAGAAACTGAGGCAGGAGAATCACTTGAACCTGGGAGGCAGAGGTTGCAGTGAGCCAAGATCGCGCCACTGCACTCCAGCTTGGGCGACAAGAGTGAAACTCCATCTCAAAAAAAAGAAAAACATGTGCCGTTGGATAAGGACACACAGGTACATGGACGGAAACACACACATACACACACACACACACACTCTCTCTCTGCTGTGGGGATGCTGATAGGATTGTGTGTCTTCTTTCCCCTGGAAACAAAAACATAATTATTTTAGCACTTGGAGCTAATGTTCTTCCCTTTCTGAGCTCTAAAAGGAGTGGTCAATTTCTTATATCATCAACAGTTCAATTTTCTAGATCTACCACAAGCTCTAGGTCATTCCTGCCACATGTTTCCAGGCCTTCATTCCCACCCCTACTCCCTACCGCCATAGGAGGAAAACAGAAGGGACAGGAAGAGAAAGCGTAGGACAAGGCCCATTATTAAACAAGTAATACCTTTCTTGGTCGTGGTGAAATATTTTGAGTCAGTCATTTTGGTCCCTTATCTGTAGCCAGGCTTCTGCAAGAGAGAGAAGAGAGGGGTGACTTTCAGTTATGCTCCATCCCATCTTCAGTTATGGTGCAGAGGGAGGAGGAGAAGGATCCAGAACACATGTGGTACAGGAAAACAGCTGCTTATCTATTTCCTGGAGAAACAAACTTTAGATCATGGCAGATTAGATTTTGAAAAGTAATTCTGAGGAATCTATCAACTTTTTTTTTTTTCTTCAGAGATGGGATCTCACCATGTTGCCCAGGCTGGTCTCAAACTCCTGGGCTCAGCCAATCCTCCTGCCTCGGCCTCCCAAAGTGCTGGGATTACAGGTGTGAGCCACCACACCTGATCCCATCAAATTTTTGAATGTGCCTCTTCTAGAAATCTTTCCCACAAAAATATCTGCACAAGGATGGACGGGCTTACAGCAGCCCCTTTGTGGGACCCACTTTGCTCAGCACTGTCCTAAATGCTTGGCACACATTAACTCATTAGAAGCCTCATCACAGCATCATCAAGGCACGATGTTACCCTATACAGTCAAATGAGATTAGAAAATACCAAGCTTAAAAGGCTAGGGAGACTTCTCCCCATGACTTCTCTAAGCTGCTAAAACAGTAACATGTATGATTCATCTGTGGAAAGGGCTAGAATCTATAGCAGTTCCCAAATCTACCTGGCCAAATTTCTTACAGGCTCTCTCAGGACATCTCCTAGAGCAAAGCTCACGGTGTAAAGTACTATTGTAAGACAATAAGGGCCAGGTGCTATAGCTCATGCCTGTAATCCCAGCCAAGGCACGTGGATCACCTGAGGTCAGGAGATCGAGACCAGATGAAACCCATCTCTACTAAAAATACAAAAAATTAGCTGGGCGTGGTGGTGCGTGCCTGTAATCCCAGTTACTCAGGAGGCTGAGGCGGAAAAATCACTGGAACCCGGGAGACGGAGGCTGCAGTGAGCCAAGATAGCACCACTGCACTTCAGCCTGGGAGACAGAATCCTGCTTTGTCTCAGAAAAAAAAAAGACCATAGGACAAAGAAAGTAGTGAAGCTCCGCCATTCATTCAACAAAAATTTACTGAGCATCTACTGTGTACCTCAATAGTTCTTCTGGGCAACAGATGAAAGAAAAGAAGTTACACAGGAACAAAGATACCCTGGATACATGGCCAAGGCTTCTAGGATGGTTCTAAGATTTATTAAGAATCTATCATTTACCGAGCCCCTATTAAAGGCAGGAGCTTCACCCACATTACCTCATTTAATCTTGTCAATAATATAACTGCTTTGAATCCCATTTTACAGAAAATGAGAAAAGGACTCAGGGATGTTGCATAATTTGCCCAAGGTCAAATGGCTTGTAAGTGGCTGGGCTGGGAGACCATCTCAGGTCTACCTGAGCTTAGTTCCTATGCTCTATCGATGAAGGAATTCTGCTTCCCGCTTCTGAAAAGGAGGACAATTCCTTGACAGTGGCTAAGGACAAAGTAAAAAAAAAAAAAAAAAAAAAAATTGAGGCTGGACGCAGTGGTGCACACCTGTAGTCCCATCTACTCGGGAGGCTGAATCACTTGAACCCAGGAGGCGGAGGTTGCAGTGAGCCAAGATTGAGCCACAGCACTCCAGCGTGGTGACAGAGCAAGACTCTGTCTCCCTGTCCCTCCCACCCCCCCCCCCGCAAAATTGAGACTTTCAAGTACAGCCTTCCAATCCTATCTGTAGTTTTTATATGTTATAGAAAACCACACAACTCCAGGCCAGGCGCGGTGGCTCACGCCTGTAATCCCAGCACTTTGGGAGGCCCAGGCGGGCGGATCACGAGGTCAGGAGATCGAGACCATCCTGGCTAACACAGTGAAACCCCGTCTCTACTAAAAATACAAAAAATTAGCCGGGCGTGGTGGCAGGCGCCTGTAGTCCCAGCTACTCGGGAGGCTGAGGCAGGAGAATGGCGTGGACCCGGGAGGTGGAGCTTGCAGTGAGCCGAGATTGCGCCACTGCACTCTAGCCTGGGCGACGGAGCGAGACTCCGTCTCAAAAAAAAAAAAAAAAAAGAAAACCACACAACTCCAAAAAATAAAATAGGCATTTGAATGGAGAACACCCACTTCACTTTGTCCCTTTTTTTGCATCTGTGGAAGTCACGCTGAACCTTGGTAAACCTTTCTGTTTAAGAAACGCCTTTGCAGGGAACACAGAAGCAGAGAGAAGCACTCAGTTCCAGCTTGGGGAGGCCGTGGGCTGCATCTTGACCATGGAAAGGTCCTGGGACCAACCCTTAGCTCCTCAGTTTCTGCCTTGCAAGGAAATTAAAAACCTATTAGGAAGATACCTGCAGATGGAGCAGGCCTAAAAACACAGCCACCGGTCAGAATTTCAAACCATATTGAATTCTCATAGAAATGAAATGCAAAAGCACAAAATGACAACAGCTCAAACTAGTGAAAAAAAATGCAGGACATTTGTGAAGCATTTGATGGGAAACATTCTTTTTTAATAGGAAATAATTATTGATATGGCTGGGTGTGGTGGCTCACGCCTGTAATCTCAGCACTTTGGGAGGCCGCGGTGGGTGGATCACCTGAGATGGTGGCAGGTGCCTGTAATCCCAGCTACTTGGGAGGCTGAGGCAGGAGAATTGCTTGAATCTGGGAGGTGAGGGTTGAGGTGATCTGAGATCATGCCACTGCACCCCATCCTGGGCCACAGAGCAAGACTTCATGTCAAAAAAAGAAAATTATTGATAATTTTTATTTAGGTTTGTTATGATGTATTTTTTGTCCATATTTTTAGAGACACGAATGGAATATATGGACTAATAGATAGGATATCTGCAATTTGTTTCAGACAACTGTGTAAAAGAAGTTATTTGAGGCCGGGTGCGGTGGCTTATGTCTGTAATCCCAGTACCTTGGGAGGCCAAGGCGGGCGGATCGCCTGAGGTCAGGAGTTTGAGAGCAGCCTGGCTAACATGGCCAAACCCCTTCTCCACTAAAAATACAAAAATTAGCCAGACGTGGTGGCAAGTGCCTGTAATCCCAGCTATTTGGGAGGCTGAGGCAGGAGAATCGCTTGAATCCGGGAGATGAGGGTTACGGAGATCTGAGATCATGCCACTGCACTCTAGCCTGGGCGACAGAGCAAAACTTCATGTCAAAAAAAAAAATTATTGATAATCTTTATTTAGGTTTGTAATGATGTATTTTTTGTCCATATTTTTAGAGACACGAATGGAATATATAGACTAATAGATATGATATCTGCAATTTGTTTCAGACAACCGTATAAAAGAAGTTATTTGAGGCTGGGTGCAGTGGCTCACACCTGTAATCTCAGTACTTTGGGAGGCCGAGGTGGGAGGATCGCCTGAGGTCAGGAGTTGAAGACCAGCCTGACCAATATGGTGAAACACTCTCTCTCCTAAAAATAGAAGAATTAGCTGGGCATGATGGGTGCCTGTAATCCCAACTACTCAGGAGGCTAAGGCAGGAGAATTGCTTCAACCCGGAGGCGGAGATTGCGGTGAGCAGAGATCGTGCCATTGCACTCCGGCCAGGGTGATAGAGCAGACTCTGTATCAAAAAAAAAAAAGTTATTTGATTGTGGGTGGGTCAACATTAGCTGTATTATCCTCCTGTTTCCTTATTTTTGTCCTGTCAGTTTTCTGTAATATCTTACAAGGCAGTAAAGAGAGGGCTTAGTCTTGGGACAGCACCCAGGGGGACATCGAGAGAGGAGTCTGGCGTTCTACCCAGCAGGGCCATTGAGAAGGTGGAGACGAACGTGGTTCTCTTTGCTGCAGAGGCTCAGCCTTTACATCCATGAAATGGGGCCAGAAAGAGTGGTGAGAATCAGGACCCTTAAGTTTCCTTCCAACTTGTAAGTTGTGATTTGGGGTTGGGGTGGCTGTGATTAAGTTCCAAAAGAACACATTTATCTGCCGCAAGGTGGCTCTGTCCAGGCCTGGCCTGGCCACCCAGCAGCTCTGGTGAAGGCACCTGTGCTGGAAACACTGAGGGGGGGCCTGACAGTGCCCAGGACTGATGAGGAGGGCTGGGAAGTGCATCTCCCAAAGCCACCTCACCTGCTGACAGGTACCCTGGGATGAATGTGTCTCTGACCTCAGGCTGTAGGGGCACAAGGTGGGGGCTGAGCCACATGAGTGAGGGAGAAAGTAGGGCCTGGTGAGATGGGGTCTAGGGTAGCTGAGTCCTGTGAAAGCCTGTTCCTGCCTGTAGCCCTCAAGTCACATTTACCCTGCCTTGACCTAGTGTCACCTGGCCCCGATTCCTAACTGAATAGGATTCTGACACAGCCTCCATCAGACAACCAATGGATGCCCATTCTGTGCTGGGGAAGATGCCTTTCTCATTCCAAGACTAGAGATGATTCAACAGCTTGTGATTCTCCCTTATTTGGAATCCCACTGGGCCCAATCTGTTTTCCATTGCCAATGCCCTGCTGCTAAAAGTATACCATATCAAGCATCCTCCCTAAAGACTGAGGGCCCATCGTGGAAGAGGAGGGCACATGAGATTGTAAGAGCTGGACTGGGGGTGGGGGTGAAGGGTGGAGGCCAAAGCAACTCTATCTTGGGTGCTGATATTTGCCATGTTGGCCTCTGATGAACCCCTGTTCCAGGAGGCCTCTAAGAGTTCCAGTTTACCTGTTGTTCTGTGTAAGAGCAGGTACTTGCCATGAATCCTGCCCTTTGGTCAAACAACCTTGATGTTACTCTACTTCAATTATCCTACACATCCCTTGTAATTCACCCTTTCTATATGGTATATAAGCCCTAGAGGGTCTGGGGGATAATGGTGCAGGGATTCACTATCTTCTCTTACCACAACCGGAGACATAGACAGGGCTTCTGTTCATAAGTCCCTATTAAATGTTTCTAAGAAAGTGGATTTGTCAGCTTTCTTCAGCCTCTCAGCCTCCTGGGACTTTTAGGGATACGTTTTCACAGCCCTGTCCCCTAAGAAACAGGGATTCATTGCTAATGTTGAAAAACGAAAGGTTCACCAAAAGCATGCAGGAGTAGCTACACTTGTGTCAGACAAAATAGACATTAAGTCAAAAAACATAAAAAGAGACATAGCAGGTCATTATATAATGATGAAGAGATCAAAGCAGCAAGAGGATATAACAATTATAAATATATATGCACCTAACTCAGGAGCACCAGATATAGAAAGTAAATATTATTAGAGCTAATGAGACTCTAATACAATAATAATTAGGGAGTTCAACACCCCAGTTTTAGAAATGCCTAGATCATCTAGGTAAAATAAAATAAAGTAATGTAAAATAAGTCAGATTGAAGCTGCATTATAGGCTAAGTAGAGCTAACAGATGAACAGTTGCAGAATCTACATTCTTCTCCTCAGCACATGGGATCCTCTCCAGGATGGACCACATGTTAGGTCACAAAGCAAGTCTCAAAAATATTTAAAAATTGAAATCATATTAAGTAATCTTCTCAGACCACAATGAAATATAACAAAAAATCAATAACAAACAGAGTTTTGGAGCCTACAAAAAGATATAAATCAAGTCACATGCTACTGAACCATTGGGTCAATGAAGAAATGAAGATGGAAATTGAAAAATGTCTTGAAACAGATGAAAATGAAAACATAATATACCAAAATCTATGGTGTATAATAAAAGCAGTACTGACAGGGAAGTTAATAGCAATAAATGCTGACAGCAAAAAAGTAGAATGCTTTCAAATAAACAAGCTAACAATGTACCTCATAGAACTTGAAAAGCAAGAACAAACCAAACCCAAAATGAGAAGAAAAGAGATAATAAAAGATCAGAGCAGAACTAAACAAAATAGAGACTTAAAAAACTCACAGTGAAAGGAAAAGTTGGGTTTTTTGTCTTTCATTTTTTTGTTTTAGATAGGGTCTCGCTCTGTCACCCAGTCTGGAGTGCAGTGGCATGATCATGGCTCACTGCAGCCTTGGACTCCAGGCTCAAGCAATCCTCCCACCCCAGCCTCTAAAGTAGCTGAGACTATAGGTGCACACCATCATGCCCTGTGAATTTTTCTATTTTTTGTAGAGACGAGGGTCTTACTATGTTGCCCGGGCTGGTCCTGTACTCCTGCTGCAAGCAATCCTCCTACCTCAGCCTCCCAAGTGCTGAGATTACAGGCATGAGCCACTGTTCTCAGCCAAGAAGTTGATTTTTTGAAAAGATTAACAAAATTGACAAACTGTGAGCTAGGCTAACTAAGAAAAAAGAAGAAGAAGAAGAAGACCCAAATAAATTAAGAAATCAGAAATGAAAAAGGAGACATTACAACTGGAAATCCAGAAATACAAAGGATCATTAGAAACTATTATGAGTGACTATATTTTAATACTGACAAATTGGGAAGACTAGAGGAAATGCACAGATTCCTGGGCACATATAACCTACCAAGATTGAATCAGAAAGAAACAAAAAACCTGAACAGACCAATCTCAAATAATAAGATTGAAGGCTCTCAAATTGGAAAAGAAGTCTTACTGGCCTTACTTGTAAATGATATGATCTTATATTTAGAAAAACCTAAAGACCGCACCAAAAAACTGTTAGAAATGACAAACTTAGTAAAGTTTTAGGATATAAAATCAACACATAAAAATCAGTAGCAACTGTATATGCCAACAGAGAACAACCTGAAAATGGTGAAATCCCACTCTTTGCCTGTTCCCACATTTATTCCCAGTATGGTAGCCAGAGGTCACCCAAGGAGAGCTCAGGGTGCAAATTGACTTGGTGAATCTCTCCGGTCTCTCTTTTATTTCTATTTTGAATGCCCACTTTGGACATTCCTGAGGTTATCAGAAACAATGTTTCCAGCACGTTGGATGTATCAGTATACTATAGAAATATGATGTGACTCGTCTATGTAATTACATGTTTTCTAGTAGCCACGTTGAAGAAAGTGAAAAAAAATCAAGTCACAATTATTTTAATTGGCAAAATGTTTTGCCATTTAAACATGGGTTTACATGATGCAGTTTTCAAAGATGATTTTTGGGGGGCAGTGGGGTGGTCTCAGTATGATACCCAGGCTGGGCATGAACTCCACAGCTCAAGCAATCACCCCATCTCAGCCTCTCAAGTAGTTGGGACTGCAGGTGCCTGACACTCAAATATCTTAATGAGATAATTTAATTCTTTTTCAGCCTTTCAAATCCAGTGTGCATTTAAACAAATGTATCCATACATTTGTTTATAAATGTATATATACGCATTTAAATATGTATACTTTTATATTTATATATATTGTGATGTAATGGAAACAGTAAAATTATCAAAGTTTTTAAAAATCTTAGTATTAATACTGTAACTAACAAAACAACAACAAAAACAGGATCTTGTAAGGCTCTGCTTGATTGTATGTGAACAGTTTTAGGGTTTCTTTTAAACCAAACTTCTAAATGTGCATTTTCACGATCTTGGAGAAAAAGTCCCTTTAAATAAATGGTCACATGAGTGTGATTTTAGAAAAAACATCTTAGTAAGTTTGATAGATTTCTTTGATCAAAACATGAGGAGATATTATTCTCATGAGAAAACTACTTGAAACTAGCCCTATTCATAGATTAATCTTAATGCCAGATATTTCATTGTAACAGTTTCAGCCCTAATCCTGAATCTTTTTATTTTTCCTAAGCAGATAGCTACAGAAATCCCAAATCTTATCAACACCCATAATATACATGGCCTAATTTAGAATGAGATGGCAATATTAGTCTGTATCAATTTTAAAAACCCTTAAGTTAAAATAATCTTTACTTGGGGTAACCAGTTTACAACCTCAGTTAAAATTACGGCATGATTAAATCAAAATCTGATTGGGTTAAGGAAGATAAGCAGGATGTAAATGAGAGGGGAGGAGAGGCTCTTGTAATAAAAACCCCTTGTAAGTGGAGCTCACTCAAAACTGAGCTGTCGGTGGAAGCTACTGGAGGCCAGGGGAGAACCTAATGGAGGAGACACACATCCAGGCTTATGTAGTTTTTCTCGACTTACTAGATTCCTACCAAGGGCAGGTATTAGAGAGCAAGGGCTGCAGGATGGAGTCACTATGAATTCGGCAACATTGTTTGAGGGCAGCTCAATGCCAGGCACAGTGTGTGCACTTAGAGAGACCCTGGGTCACCTTCTAAAAGCAGACAGCAGAACTTAAATTTTCAGTACCCAGTCTGGAGAAATGACAGTCTTCATTTTCCTTAATCATAGTGTGGCCAACTCGATGAGATGATGATGGAGTTTCTCTCTTTGACCTATTCAACCTTTCAGCTACTTAGGAGGGGCTTTTGCCACAGCCAGATTAGAACGATTTTGCAGGGGATAGGGGTGTTGGAGGGTCTCTGAGTCTAGTACATAGCTGTCCAGTAGAAATATAATGTAATCCACATATGCAATGATAAGTTTTCTAGTAGCCACATTAAATTACAAAATGTAAATTTTAATACAAAAAAGTTATTTCAGCGTGTAATCAATCTTTAAAAGTTCTTTTTTTTTTTTTGAGATAGAGTCTCACTGTGTTGCCCAGGCTGGAGTGCAGTGGTGCGATCTCAGCTCTCTGCAACCTCCATCTCCCGGAGACGATTCAAGTGATTCTCCTGCCTCAGCCTCCTGAGTAGCTGGGATTACAGATGTGCGCCACCAAGCCCAGCTAATTTTTTTTGTATTTTTAGTAGAGATGGGGTTTCACCATGTTGGTCAGGCTGGTCTTGAACTCCTGACCTCGTGATCTACCCACCTCGGCCTCCCAAAGTGCTGGGATTACAGGCATGAACCACCACACCTGGCCAAAGTTCTTAATAAGATAACTTACATTCTCTTTTTCTCATACCTCTTCAAAATCCAGTGCGCATTTTACACTGAAGGTGTGATACGCTAACTTACATTAACTTGATTGACTCTCTCTTAGCTAAGAAAGCTGGATGGATTCCATTCGGCTCCTTCATTTGCAAGACATTAAGGGCTCCTTACCCACTCCCTCCCTCAAGGACTTAACTTGTGCAAGCTGACTCTCAGCGCGTCAAAGAGTGCAATTAACTGATAAGATACTGTGGCAAACTATGTCCACAGTTCCCAGGAATTTGCTCAGGTGACAGTACTCTAAAGCCCCCTGCATTTGTGTCTGGAGCCCCCCTCCTATCACCCTGTGATGAATTTAAAGCCCCTGCACCTGGAACTGTTTGTTTTCCTGTAACCATTTGTCTTTTCAACTTTTTTGCCTGTTTTACTTCTGTAAGATTGCTTCAGCTCAATTCCCCCTCCCCTTTCTAAACCAAAGTATAAAAGAAAATCTAGCCCCTTCTTCAGGGCCGAGAGAATTCCGAGCGTTAGCGTCTCTCGGTCGCCGGCTAATAAAGGACTCCTGAATTAGTCTCAAAGTGTGGCGTTTCTCTATAACTCGCTTGGTTACAACAAAGGCACATCCCAATTCCAATAAGCCCCATTTGGGGTGCTCAAGAACCACATGTGGCTGGACCGCTGGGCCTAGACCCTTCACAACACCAGCTTCTCAACTGAAGAATCATGTCCTTCATTCCAACTAGCATTTCCGATATTAGAAGTTCAAGGCCATGACTCTTCTTATATGTATTTTATAGTGTTTTTATCACCTATCACTAGTGATTGTTTATAGCAGGCACTGATATGTCTCTATGCATGTAAAAGTGAAAGAGCCTAAAGGAGTATTGTCATTCAGTTAATTGAACTCCAATATCATGTACCGTTTCTGCAGACATTGGCCATGGCAGAACATTTTAAAGAAGCAAGTCGATGTGTCGGCTGCCTATCTTATCCTGAAAAACCCACTTACTAGCCAGGCACATTGGCTCACGCCTGTAATCCCAGCACTTTGGGAGTCTGAGGTGGGTGGATCTCGAGGTCAGGAGTTAAAGACCAGCATGGCCAAGATGGTGAAACCCCGTCTCTTCTAAAAATACAAAAATTAGCCGGGTGCTGTGGCAGTGCCTGTAATCCCAGCTACTCATGAGGCTGAGGCAGGAGAATCACTTGAACCCAGGGGCAAAGGCTGCAGTGAGCCAAGATGGCACCACAGCACTCCAGCCTGGGCAGCAGAGCAAGACTCCGTCTCAAAAAAAAAAAAAAGGAAAAGAAAAAAGAAAATAATAAAAACCCACATACCTAGAGTGTGGATATCTCTGCTGCTTCCGCTGTATCAGTTCATTTCCAAAGGAGCCCAATGGGGATGATGTATTGTGCGCCATCTGCTCTGTGGTCACTATAAAAGACATCACGCCCCATCTCCTGCTGGGAAAACTGGTTTCCAAAATCAAGGAAGTGGAGCCCCAGCTGAGAAGAATTCTATATTAAAACCCAAGGATGCGGAAGTTTCAAGGTCAGAAATCTGTATAACCTGCGCTCGGCCCACCAACAGCCTTGGAAAAAGCAACTGTTCAAAAGGCTCTCCATTAAATAGGGGCATTAGCTGAATTCTGGCACCTAAAATGTGTATGCCCACCCAACAACAGTTCTCAGCTGTGAGTATAGATTAGAGACAACAGAAGATTTTGAAGAAAATATAACATTTAAGTCATACCCTAGACCTGTGCTGCCCAATATGGTAGCCACCAGTGGCTATGGGGCCCTTGAAACATGGGTGTACCCCATGTGGAAGTGACAATAATTCTGGATATACAAGCTTATAATATGTTATTTAAAGTATTGTTGAATTTTTTTTAATGTCTACAGAAAAATTTAAAATTACCTGGAGATCTTTTATAAAATGCAAATTCTCCTTCTATTGGACTAGGCTGGTTGAGAATCTGGATTTCTGACACACACTCACACACACACACACACACATACACACAAATTTTTTTGAGATGTGGTTTCATGTTGCCCAGATTGGTCTCAAATTCCTCAGCTCAAGCGATCCTCCCACCTCAATCTCCCAAATTGCTGGTATTACTGACATAAGCCGCCGTACACAGCCTGATCTAATAGTATAATAAATAGTTTTTCCATCATCTAGATATTCATTAGATATCTATATTTGAACAGAGTCTGCTAAATTTTATGATTTTGAGAGTAAACAACAGACATGGTTTCTGCCTTCATGGATCTCAAGAAATCTTGAATAATCAAAATGTAAAAAGAATGCTTACTATGAACAAGAGGGATTTGTTACAATTCTATTTCAATCTTCTCTAAGAAATTCTACGGAATCAGGGAATGCAGGGAAGTTTCTATTTGCTGATTTACCTTTTTTCTTTCCACAGTGGATATGACGTCAGATATTGACACAGCCAACAATCGACTCATCATTTCTGAAGACCTGTGGAGTGTCCATTGTGGATTTCTTAGAACCGCACAGAGTATGCCGAGATTCAAACAAGTCATCTGTGTCCTGGGCTCCCCTCGCTTCACCTCTGGACACCATTACTGGGAGGTAGACATGGGGACAGGCAAATAATGGGATTTGGGTGCCTGCAAAGAATCTGTTAATCGACAAGAGAATTGTGTGGTCTTCAGAACTTGGCTTCTGGACTGTGGGTATGAGGAAAGAAAAGCTCTTTGCAGCCAGCACTGTGCCTTTAACCACCCTCTGGGTGAGTCCGGGGCTATGCAGGGTAGGCATTTTCCTGGATATGGGTATGACAATGATTTCCTTTTATAACATTAATGATGGGACTCATATCTTTACATTCACTAAGATTTCTGCTGCAGAGCCACTGTGCCCATTTTATGCTCTTGCAGATTCAATTATCGATGACCAAGGCTTCCTATCTGTCCTGTGATTAATCTTGGCATTGACAAATCTACAGTTTCTCCTGAGCAGGGCAAATAAACTTTTAGCCACAAAACCATTTAGACAATCACTTTATGCTCAATGCAAGAAACTTTTCTGCTTGCCACAAGATAATGGAACAAAGTTACAGCAGAAAAATATGGAACATCTCAAACCATGAATGTCAATTAAGTAGATTAATAAGAAATTGCCTTTTAAATACTAAAAAGTATTGTTACAGTTGTCCTTTGGGTTTTATGGGCCGTGGCTCCGTGTCCCTCCCACACCTGTCCGAGTGGCTTTTGCTGGCTCTCTGTGCCCTGGCTGCCTCACCCTGCACCGTGCTGCTGTCTCATTGACATCACATCTCTTCTGCAAATCTATCTTGTTGTCTGTTCCTTCTTCCCTGGAGCATCTGAAAGGATCATCTTGTGAATTTGACTCATTTCCTAAGTCATTCTCACACTCTTTACGTTGTATCCAGCCTGGTTTTGGCAGAAAGTTTTTCTCACATACAGGATACACCAGGGCTGGACTCTGTCTTTACATGTGGTTGTGGAGTGACCCAGAATCCAGCAGAGAGCAAACCCCAAATGATTGCTTTATGACCGGATCCAATTCATTCCAATCATGTAAAGTTAACTTGGCTCCCTACACACTGTCTCCCAAGCTTTGTTTTCTTGCTCAGACACTGAATCCCAAGGAGTGATCTCATCCCATTGTACATAATTTTTTAATAGAACTAAATGTAGGTCTTTCAAAAATATATATACAAAGAAAAAAATCTTTATTTAATATGTGATACATTTTAGGAGCGGGAAATAGATTATATTCAAGTTATTTGAAATTTGAAAACAAAGCTGTTATTTTATGAATTAAGTACAAGTTAATCACTAACTTGTCCATTTCCATGATACATGCAGATTCATCAGTTTTCTGGTCAAGACCTGAGTCTCAGCCTGGAGGACATTATGTTAAGCAAAATAAATCAGGTCTGGAAAGATAAATACCACATGTTCTCACTCCTATATGGGAGCTAAATGAAAAATGCTGAGCTCACAGAAGCAGAGCATAGAATTGTGGGTATAGAGGCTGGGAGGGTAAGGGGCAGGGGAGCTTGGGGAGAGGTTGGTTATTGGATACAGAATTATACCTAGATGGGAGAAATGGGCTTTAGTGGAGGCTGGGAAGGGTAAGGGGGAGGGGAGCTTGGGGAGAGGTCGGTAATTGGATATAAAATTACAGCTAGATGGGAGAAATGGGCTCTAGCACAACTGTGGGGTAAATATGGTCACTTGTACATGATTGCATATTTTCAAAAAGCTAAGAGGATTAGGAAGGCTCCCATCACAAAGAAATAATAAATACAGGCGGTGGCTCACGCCTGTAATCCCAGCACTTTGGGAGGCCGAGGCAGGCGGGTTACCTGAGGTCAGGAGTTAGAGACTAGCCTGGCCAGAATGGTGAAATGCTGTCTCTACTAAAAATACAAAAAAAAAAAAAATTAGCCAGGCATGGTGGCACATGCCTGTAATCCCAGCTGCTCAGGAGGCTGAGGCAGGAGAATTGCTTGAGCCCAGGAGCCGGATGTTGCAGTGATCCAAGTTTGTGCCACTGCACTCCAGCCTGGCTGACAGAGCAAGAATCTGTCTCAAAAAAAAAAAAAAAAGAAAGAAATGTTTAGAGTGTGCTAATTATCCTGACTTGATTATTACACACTTTATGCATGTATCAAAATATTACTGTGTGCCATAAATATGTACAATTATTACATGTCAACTGAAAGTAAAGAGGAAAAAAAAGTAAACCAAAACAAGACCTGAGTGTCTCAGAGTCCTCTAATCCCATGAGGAATCATATTTAAAGCCGACCAAAATTAGGTCTTTATTTTTAATTATGCAAAAAGAGAAAATTCCTTTAATATGTGCCAAAGGGAATAGGGAAAATGATAAGATTATATTCAAATTATTTGAAATTTGAAAACAAAGCAGTAAAGATCCCACTACACAGAAAGGCATGAAAATGAAAAGATTCGGGGTTGATTCAAATGGAAGAAAGCACAACTCACTTCACGGGTAACAATTTTTATTTGAGAACACAAGTTTCACAAGAAAATCATCTTTTTTTTTTAAATTGTGACTTTTATCTTAACACTGTGTGAAGTACTCAAGGTCCAAGAAGCTTAATGGTCATTTGTCAAAATAGTAATTATCCAATTTTTTCCTATGAATTATGAAATTTTTTCAAAACCAGAAATAAACCAATGAAAATAAATAAAAATTCCCTAGAATTTCCTCAATGGAATGCATGCCCCTATTACCTTTGAGTCTGATGTATATGAATTTAAACCATTTTGTAAAATTGCAAATCCAATCATACTTAATACTTCAGGTTTCCAAGCAAAGCTTGAAGCCTACAACATATTACAGGAATTATCTTTACTGACAACTGATGGAAACATCTCTAAAATAAGCTTTTGAAGTTAGTACATTAAGCCTAATTTAATATAAAGGCAATTTAATCTTATCTTCATATGAAAGAAAAATACACTGTCAGGATGAAGGATTTACTAAAGTTACAATTAACTGGAGATATATCACCAGTAAAAACCTAATTCCCTGTTATAATTAAATCAAAGCCTCATTAGGTTAGAGGGTGTGGAAGGGCATGACCCAGTGGGAGGTGGGAATCTCACCAATAAAACGCCCTCATGTGCCCCTTCCGCACAAGACCTGAGCGCCCAGTGGAAGCAGCTGGAGGACAGAGGAGCTTCCAGCAGAAGAGGTGAGCCCATGCCTGTGTGTGTGTTTTTCCTCCTTAGATGCCTAGAAATGGGGGTTATGCCTTGGGGGATGAATGAGAGAAATTCGTAATTAATGAATTCAACAAAGGCTGTCTGAGTGCTGCCTCAGAGTTGAAAACCAGTCACCCTGGATCCCCAGATCTCCAGTCTAGGAGTGGTGGCAGTCAATTTGGTATTCATTTCCAAGGCTGGAGAAGGATGTGATTTTTTTTTTTTTTTTTTTGGTGAGACAGGGTCTTAACTCTGTTGTCCAGGTTGGAGTGACCTGGTGTGATCTCTGCTCACTGCTAATTTTTCTATTATTTGTAGAGAGGGGGTCTTCCTGTGTTGCCCAGGCTGATCTCAAACTCCTTGGCTCAAGGGATCTTCCAGCCTTGGCCTCGCAAAGTGCTGGGATTACAGATGTGAGCTACTGCATCCAGTCCCTCTCTTTTTTTTTTTTTTTTTTTTTGAGATGGTGTCTCACTCTGTTGTCCAGGCCGGAGTGCAATGGCTGGATCTTGGCTCACTGCAACCTTTGCCTCCCAGGTTCAAGCAATTCTCCTGCCTCAGCCTCCCAAGTATCTGGGATTACAGGCGTGTGCCACCACGCCTGGCTAATTCTTTTGTATTTTCAGTAGAGATGGGGTTTCACCCATCAGGCTGGTCTCGAACTTTTGACGACCTCAGATGATCCACTCACGTCAGCCTCCCAAAGTGCTGGGATTATAGGCCTGAGCCACCACGCCCGGCCTCCCAGCCCCTAATTCTTATGTTCATCAATCAATCTCTTGCTGGGGTTCCCCTAGGAGGAGGTGAAATGACCCCAGCTCGCTGTTCCTCACATGGGTGCTGCCGTGTCACTGGCTCAGGCTCAGTTGCTGGGTCACCAGTAGAATGGACCCTTCCTCCACCTCAGTTCAGAGCACAGTGATGATTCGTGACTTTCTTTCCCAATAGAACTTCAAATCTCTGAAGACGGGGGGTGGGGGGATGTGCTTGAGTGTTTGTACTCATGGTCTTGTTCTAGAAGTGACAAAGCTGGGACACAATACCTTTATGCATGAAAAGGTTGTCACTTGTCACAACTAACAGGCTTTCACCTCACGGAAATTTTCTTCCCTTGTGCACTTTTCCCCTGGCAGTGGACATGGCTGCACTCTTCCAAGAAGCAAGCAGCTGTCCCGTCTGCTCAGACTATCTAGAGAAACCAATGTCCCTGGAGTGTGGATGCGCTGTCTGCTTCAAGTGCATCAATTCACTGCAGAAGGAGCCCCATGGGGAGGATCTACTTTGCTGTTGCTGTTCCATGGTCTCTCAGAAGAACAAAATCAGGCCCAGTTGGCAGCTAGAGAGGCTGGCTTCCCACATCAAGGAACTGGAGCCCAAGCTGAAGAAGATTCTGCAGATGAACCCAAGGATGCGGAAGTTCCAAGGTGAGGGATCTGTATACACTGCCCCCTTCCTACGACCAGACCAGGAAAAATCATCTGTGCAACTGGCCCCTCATTCCATATGGGGATTAGCTGCTGTCTGGCACCTAAAATTGAGATGCTTCTTCATCATCAGATTCTCAGCCCTGACAACATACAGAATCACCTGGTGATCTCCAAAAAAAAGGCTGGCTGGGCATGGTGGCTCATGCCTGTAATGTCAGCACTTTGGGAGGCCGAGGCGGGTGGATCACGAGGTCAGGAGATCGGGACCATCCTGGATAACACGGTGAAACCCTGTCTCTACTAAAAATACAAAAAATTAGCCAGGCTTGGTGGTGGGTGCCTGTAGTCCCAGCTACTTGGGGGTTGAGGCAGGAGAATGGCGTTAACCTGGGGGGGGCGGAGCTTGCAGTGAGCCAAGATTGCACCACTGCACTCCAGCCTGGGTGACAGAGTGAGACTCCGTCTCAAAAAAAAAAACCTGATGTCTATGTCATGGGTTAGACAAGGGATTCTCTAAACTTAGTGTGCTCAGATTACCTGGGGATCTTGTTAAAATGCAGATGCTGAACTGGGAAGTCTCAGGATTGATCCCGCTGGCTTGGGGACTTTGCTGAGTAGCAAAAACACAGAGCAACTTAATTTGAATTTCTCTCTAGCAAAGGTTCCCAGGACTCTGACATTTAAATGGGCCTGGTAATTCTAATGCACAGTGAGTATTGGCACCCACTGTACCAAACAACCTCACCCCAGGGTTGGGAAGAGTTTGGAATGGAGCACCTATGGTGTTTGTTTCTGTGAGTGGGGCGAGTTGCAGACGCTGGTCTCCTCATCGGTGTGCCATGGACTTCAACAGGGGTCCTGGCTACAGAAAATACTATCACTCTCCATAACTCTGGGGAATAGGGACATTTAAATGAAGAGGTTATGGTCAGCCTGGGCAAAGAATTACACCTATAAATGGTGGTGGCTTCTGCCCTGACACCCATGATCTCTACTCATCCACCTACCCATACCTGACTGTGTCTCTGCTGAAATATGGAGGACAGATTCACCCTGCCTAAGTCATGTTTGGAACCCTCTTCCTCCTTCCTTGTCCATGTCCACTCATCTCATTTCATTCCCTAATTCACCATCAAACAGCAATCAGTCTCCTCAAGTCTTACTGTAATCTATAAAATCTATATTGGTGATCATCAGTTTTTTGACTTGAAGGATCATATGTTCTGTAGATTTTTTTTTCAGAATGCTCTGGACAATTAATTTTCTTTAGGCCAGATCACACTGCCTCCTCCATGAGAATTGGCAGCTTCACCTATCAACCACATACCCAATGCATTAAATTATTGACCTTTGTATTTACTGCCCTTATTCTCTACGATCAGTCAGTTATGACGAACAACTTTCTTTTTTTTTTTATTTTTTGAGATGGAGTCTCGCTCTGCCGCCTAGGCTGGAGGTGCAGTGGCATGATCTCTGCTCATTGCAAGCTCCGCCTCCTGGGTTCATGCCATTCTCCTGCCTCAGTCTACCGAGTAGCTAGGACTACAGGCACCCGCCACCATGTCCGGCTAATTTTTTTGTATGTTTTTTAGTAGAGACAGGGTTTCACGTGTTAGCCAGGATGGTCTCGATCTCCTGACCTCGTGATCCACCCGTCTCGGCCTCCCAAAGTGCTGGGATTACAGGTGTGAGCCACCGCGCTCAGCCAACAAACAACTTTCAAATACCTTTCTCTTCACTCCAAAATTTACCATTGTTTTGCTTAAGGTTTCACCTCCCATGTAGGATGGAAAACATTCTTTCATCTAAGGCCCCCCTCTTCCTCCTGGCCTTGGAGCCTCCTAATGTCCAGGACCGGCACCTCTGTCATCACATTGTCAGCTGCAGAGATACCCTACCTGCTGTCAGAACCATGCACAATTAATTTGCTTACAAACATGGAAAACAAAGGCCTGGAATCATGCTCTATATACTGAGTTGAGCAATACAAGATGGAAGCAGAAACATATTTAACATCGACCATTTGCATTGTCTTAATTATCATTCATTTTTTCATGCATCAAGGTGGTAGAAAGGGGGTCATGGTGTCTGCCTTCAGAGACCCTCCACTCTAAATGAAGAAAAGTCCAATGAAGCAAACACGTGACATAAAGTAAAATAATTGCTACTGTGAATAAGAGTTGGGTATTGCCACAAAGCATACCTATGAGAATTTGAACTAGTCAGGGAAGTTGCCTCATGAAAAGTTTTGATTTTGGGGGAAGAAGAGAATTAAAGAAACCAAAGTCAAGAGATATTTGGGCCTTTGAAGTAGAGGAGAGGCATGGGGTTGGCTTCTGTCCATTTTCTGATCAACTTTTTTTCCTTTTCACAGTGGATATGACCTTGGATGCCGACACAGCCAACAACTTCCTCCTCATTTCTGACGACCTCAGGAGCGTCCGAAGTGGGTGCATCACACAGAATCGGCAAGACCTTGCCGAGAGATTTGACGTGTCCATTTGCATCCTGGGCTCCCCTCGCTTTACCTGTGGCCGCCACTACTGGGAGGTGGACGTGGGAACAAGCACAGAATGGGACCTGGGAGTCTGCAGAGAATCTGTTCACCGCAAAGGGAGGATCCATCTGACCACAGAGCGTGGATTCTGGACTGTGAGTTTGAGGGATGGAAGCCGCCTCTCTGCCAGCACGGTGCCGCTGACTTTCCTCTTCGTAGACCGCAAGTTACAGCGAGTGGGGATTTTTCTGGATATGGGCATGCAGAACGTTTCCTTTTTTGATGCTGAAGGTGGTTCCCATGTCTATACATTCAGGAGTGTCTCTGCTGAGGAGCCACTGCACTTGTTTTTTGCTCCTCCAAGTCCACCTAATGGTGATAAGAGTGTCTTGAGTATCTGTCCTGTGATAAACCCGGGCACTACTGATGCTCCAGTCCATCCTGGGGAGGCCAAATAAGCCCCCACTGCAAAAAAACAAAAAACAGGTTAAGAAAATTACTTGGGTGGGCAGACTTAGGAACGCTCTACTCGGTAAAAGCGTTATACAAAGTCATAGGAGAAAAATATGGGACAATTCATGATTATACTTAATCTAATTTGATTAGTTTATAAATTGAGTCCTAAGTATTAATTATTGCCACCATCCAACTCATTGAGTCTTATGGTTCACATCTTGTTTCCTATAGAAATATTCTGTATTCTGGGATCAATTTCCAAATGCTTTTTTATTTCTGTAAGTTCAAATTAATGTATTATAGAAGTTATGAGTTAAATAAACATTGGAATATCACCTAATGGATTATGTGACTTTCTTTCCTCAGCCTCCTGAGTAGCTGGGATTACAGGCAACTGCCACCACGCCTAGCTAATTTTTTGTATTTTTAGTAGAGACAGGATTTCACCATGTTGGCCAGGCTGGTCTCGAACCCTTGACCTCATGATTCACCCACCTCAGCCTCCCAAAGTGCCGGGATTACAGGCATGAGCCACTGCACCCAGCCGGATTATGTGATTTTCTAAATGATAGGAGTACGATAGATTTTATTCATAGTAAATGCGTGAGCGTGTGTATGTGTGTGCGTGTGTGTGTGTGTATTTGGACAGAGAGCTGGATAAATGCCTATGTCCTAACCAGAACTGAAAAAACAAGTTGTTGCCATCATTGCTCAGTATAGGTAACATTTTCCTGGATGTGCATTCATCTACATTAACAACGATAATTCCCCCCAATTAATTATTATAATTATTAATTATAATTGTTAACAATTAATAAACCTCTGCAGGCTAACAAAGCAAAAAAAAAAAAAAACAAACAAACCACACATTACTCATATTAGAAATGAAAGAGGGGCCACGTCTACCAAACTGTTGAGCATTAAAAGGATAATCAGGGACTGTTATGAATGACTCTATTCCCACAGTTTGATAACACAGTCTCTCAATTCCTTGAGAGACATAATCTTCCCAAGGTCACACTAGAAACAGACAATCTGAACAGCCTCTGCCTATTAAGTGAATTGACATTAAGAACATTCCAAAAAGACAACACCAGAACCAAATGATTTCTCTTATGAAATCCACCAAATTCTTATGAATCCTAACATATTTTCACAATATAATCCAAAAATTGTGCTCCTAGGTATGTACTCAGCTGAAATGAAAAGTTATGTCCACACAAAGCCTGCACAGGAATGTTTACAGCAGCTTTATCTATAACCACCCAAACTAGAAGCAAGATGTTCAAGAGGTGAATGAAAAAAAAAATCATCCATAAAACACAGTATTATTCTGTGATTTAAAGGAGTTCTCCAACAAGGCATAGAAAAGACAATGGCATATATCAGAAAGACTGTGAGGGCATGCCTTCACTGGATGAGACACACAGAAAGGCGGCAGAGCAGGGTGACTTTATGTTAATTAGTGAAGTAAGTTCATCTGAAAAAGCTACATAATACTGGGTTGGTGCAAAACTAGTTGCGGTTTCTGGCATTTAAAGAATGGGAAAACCGCAATTACTTTTGCGTCAACCTAATACATGACTCCAACTACATGACATTCTGGAAAAGGCAAAACCAAGGGGACGGTAAAAATATCAATAGTTGGTAAGGTTTCTGGAGAAAGAGGACAGAGATTCACAAGTAAAGAAGAGGGAAGTTTTGGAGCGGGGAGAGTATTCCTCCTGAGATCAAAATGGTAAACATAACATCATAAATATTTCAAAATTCATAGAAATGTGTAACAGGAAGAAAGAACACTATGTGAATGACAGACTTTAGTTACTAATGTATCCCTTTGGCCTTTCTCTTCAAGGATCCCTGAGGAGACAGAGCCCCAGTGCCCTCAGGCATCCATGCTTAGAATGAAGCCACACCCCACCCCTGGTATCCAGAATGGTCCGGTTCCAAACGTCCCTGGGAGAACTGTGAGCAGAAGGTCCTGTGCGGCAGAACCCCAGGCCGGAGGGGTGGCAGGGCTGACCCTGCACATCCAGCAGTTCTGTTTTCTCTCCCTCCCACCCCAGGCTCTTCTCCTGTCATTTCCCTGCATCTCCCTGTTTCTTCCTGTCTGGATCTTTCTCCTTCCCTCCCTCTCTCTCTCGCGTTGAGTGTGCGTGGTCTCTGTCACTGCTGCCTTGGCCACCTGCAGACGTCTCTCTCTGATTCCACCCATGGGTTCACTGACATCCGACATGGGATGCTCTTGGTGCTTCCTAGCACACCAGCCCAGTCCTGAGAGGGAACTGGCAGCCACAGGCACACAGACTCATAGGGCACAGGAGCCTACGAATACATGGCCCCCTCTTCCGAGCTGCAAGTGGACTATTCTATTTATTTTTTTTATTTTTTGAGACGGAGTCTTGCTCTGTCACCCAGGCTGGAGTGCAGTGGCCCAGCTACTTGGGATTACAGAATTGCTTGAACCTGGGAGACGGAGGTTGCAGTGAGCTGAGATCACACCACAGCACTCCACCCTGGGTGACAGAGCAAGACTTCACCTCAGAAAAAAAAAAAAAAAATTAGCCAGGCATGGTGGCCACACCTATAGTCCCAGCTACTTAGGAGGCTGAGGTTCACCTGAACCTGGAAGGCAGACGTTGCAATGAGCCAAGGTCATGCCATTGCACTTTAGCCTGGGTGACAGAGTCAGACTCATCTCAAAAAAAAAAAAATCTCCTTTAATTCCCACAACCACCCTACAAAGTAGGTATCATTACTTCCCCCATCTTACAGAGGGAAACTGAGACTCAGGGAGGGAGGCGATTCACCCAAGATCACACAGCTGGCTAGAGGCAGAACCTGGCTGCCTGGTTCCAAAGCCCATACCCTTAGCTGTCATGCAGTACAGCCTCTGCCTATTCTGAGCTCCTCAGGAACACAGACGACATCTTTCCTGACTGTGGGTGCCACTCCCCAGCATGAGAATTGTTTGCCAAATGAATCCGTGAATGGTCGTGCAGAAGAAGGTGCGCTCCAAGAGGGCACAGGCTATATTGTTTTATTCCTGTGTCTCAGCAATATCCAAAAAGAGCCAGGCACAGTGAGTGCCCATTAGACATCTACTGAATGGATCAAAAAATGGTTTGGGCCAGGTGTGGTGGCTCACAGATGTAATCCCAGCACTTTGGGAGGCTGATATGGGAGGATTATTCGAGCCTAGGGGTTCAAAACCAGCCTGGGAAAGATGGAAAGACTCCATCTCTACAGAAAAATTTTTAAAAAATTAGCCAGGTACAGTGGAGTACACCTGCAGTCCCAGCTACTCTGGAGGCTGAGGCAGGAGGATCACTTGAGCCTGGAAGTTCAAGGTTACAGTGAGCAATGATCGCGCTACTGCACTCCAACCCGGGAGACACAGTGAAACTTTGTCTCAGTAGAAAATAAATAAATAAATAAACAAATATTTTAAAAACTTAAGAAAATGAATGGTTTGGGGGCTCAGTGAGGTGGTGGGACTTGTGGGACATCCAGATGAAAGAGCAAACCTGAAGGGTGGCCCAGAGGCCAGGACTAAGGATCAGGGAAGCCACAGGTGGATCCAGGACAGTGGATGAGACACACGAGGTGGATGGGAGTGGGGGTGGCAGAGTTGAGTGGGGGACAGGAGACCAAAAGACAACCGCAGTCCCCCCCATTGTCCTTGGGGGATACATTCCAAGATCCCCAGAGGAGGCCTGAAACCATGGATAGTACTGAGCCCATATATACTATGTTTGCTCCTATACACCCATACCCGTGAAACAATTTCATTTATAAATTAGGCACAATAAGAGATGAACAACAAGAGTAACCAAAAAGGACAATGATAACAACATCACGTTCATAATTTCACAGATAGATTTGTTCTTACCATAGGTCTTAGCAACCTCAGCATATAATTTTTTTCTTTTCTTTTTTTTACAAATTCAACTTTTATTTAGTTTCAGGGGTACATGTGCAGGTCGGTTCTACAGATAAATTGCATGCTTGGTATACAGAGTGTTTTGTCACCCAGGTAATAAGTACCATACCCAATAGGTAGTTTGTTTTGGTTTTTGAGAAAGAGTGTCACTCTGTCACCCAGGCTGGAGTGCAGTGGCATGATCTCGCCTCACTGCAACCTCTGCCTCCTGGGTTCAAGCAATTCTCCTGCCTCAGCCTCCTGAGTAGCTGGAACTACAGGCACTCACCACCACACCCGGCTAATTTTTGTATTTTTAGTAGAGATGGGGCTTCACCATGTTGGCCAGGCTAGTCTCGAACTCCTGACCTCAGGTGATCCGCCCGCCTTGGCCTCCCAATGTGCTGGGATTACAGGCGTGAGCCATCCAGCCAGGCCTCAATAGGTAGTTTTACGGCTCTCACTCTCCACCTTCAAGTAGGCCCATATCTATTGTTCTTTGCATCCTTCTTTGCGTCCCTGTGCACTCAATGTTTAGCTCCCAGTTCTGAGTGAGAACATGTGGTGTTTGGTTTTTTGTTCCTGCATTAGTTTGCTTAGGATGACGGCCTCCGGCTCCATTCATGTTGCTGCAAAGGACATGATCTCATTCTCTTTTACTTTTTTCCCTAGAGTGCTCAGCAGATTTTCTTTCTTTTTTTTTTTTTTTTTGAGACAGTCTTGCTCTGTTGCCCAGGCTGGAGTGCAGTGGCGTGATCTCAGCTCACTACAACCTCCGCCTCCTGGGTTCAAGCAATTCTCCTGCCTCAGCCTCCCGAGTAGCTGGGATTACAGGTGCGCACCACCACGCCTGGCTAATTTTTTTTTTTTTTTTTGAGACAGAGTCTCACTCTGTCGCCCAGGCTGGAGTGCAATGGTACAATTTCGGCTCACTGCAACCTCTGCCTCCTGCGTTCAAGCAGTTCTCTGCCTCAGCCTCCCGAGTAACTGGGATTACAGTCACCCACTACCATGGCCGGCTAATTTTTTATATTTTTAGTAGAGATGGGGTTTCACCGTCTTGGCCAGGCTGGTCTTGAACTCCTGACCTCGTGATCCACCCACCTTCACCCCAGAAAGTGCTGGGATTACAGGAGTGAGCCACCGTGCCCAGCCTAATTTTTGCATTTTTCAGTAGAGATGGGGTTTCACCATGTTGGCAAGGCTGGTCTTGAACTCCTGATGTCAGGTGATCCACCCACCTCAGCCTCCCAAAGTGCTGGGATTATAGGCTGGAGCCACTGTACCCGGCGATTTTCTTCTTTTCTTATTGAGAACTTTTATCTTTTCATTTAAAGGAAGCGCTTCACAACTTCTCTTTGGCATATCTGAATTGCCAGCATCACGAATCTTGCTCTTTGGGGCTATAGTTAAGTCAGATAAGGATTTCTTGAACACAAGCACTGCAAAACTGTGATGGTTGATTTGATAACTGGGAGGGCTACTACGTGATTATGGGGTAGTGAAAAATAGCGTGGGTACATTGGACAAAGGGAGGATTCACACCCCAGTCAGCTGGAGATTTCATCACACTGCTCACAATGGGGCGCAATTTAATAATATGTGCTTGGTAAACATTTTAATGATGGGGTTAGTAAGGGGTGGAGCAGGGACTCGAACCTGCATCTGTAAGGCTCTTTTCTGGCTTTTAACAGCCACTCCTAAGCTATGTGTACCTGGCCCTCCCATGTCACTGTGTGCTCTTTTTTTTTAGAGACCACTCTGTCACCCACCCAGGCTGGAGAACAGTGGCATGGTCATAGCTCACTGCAGCCTTGAACTCCTGGGCTCGACTGATCCTCCTGCTAATTTTATTATTTTTTGTAAAGACAGGGTCTTGCTATGTTGCCCAGGCTGGTTCTTCATCTCGTGATCTGCCTGCCTCAGCCTCCCAAAGTACTGGGATCACAGGTGTGAGCTATGCTCCTGTCTTAGTGGTTGGAAGCTCAGGATCTGGTTTTGAGAACGGATAATGACAGGTGAGCTGAACAAAGAAATGGTGAAAAAACAGCAGCTCAGGGTGGTCAGGACTCAGAAATGCCTGTGGTGGACCCACCGTGGGAGCTACAGGTGGACAAATGTACACACTTTGGGATGCGCTCAGACACCCCCTGGAATGCCTGCTGAGATGAATTCTGAGTATACGCTTGGCTCCTGCTAGAGGGTTGAGCTGGACTTCCTGACTGCTCACCAGTCCCATGCCAGGCTCTATCTGATGCATTTCTTTTTATTTTATTTTATTTGATTTGATTATAAACCACCTTTTGAAAATATCTAATGCATTTCAACCCCCAAAAATGTGCTGAGCTACCCAGGGCTACCCAGCGCTGCCACTGCCCCTTCAGCTCTCTCTACCCTGGCACCCTCTCTCCTTCACTCCTGTCACTGGCTCACCTGGGCCCTGCCTCCCTGGCCTGGGTGGCATTAACAGCCTCCAACGGGCTTCTTTGCCACCAGCCTCCCCATCTTCCTGGCCAAAGCAATGAGCCTTCCAGTAGAGCCCCAACCAGATGCCCCTCCTGCTTACGACCCGCTGAAATCCCTGGATAAAGTGCAAAGCCCTCTCTGAGGCCTCAAGGCCCCTCAGAACACAGCCCTGTGCCCCATCTGGCTTCATATCTCCACCATCCCTCCTGGAGCCAGTCCCACCATGATGAAGACAGTTGGCCCCACCACACTGAACTGCTTGCAGTGTCCCCACACACATCACCAAGTAGAGGCAGGCCCTGCCACTCTGGAGTCCTGTGATATAGGCCCACAATACTTACTTCTCTGTGTCTCAGTTTCCCCATCTGTAAATTGGGGGTAATAACAGAACCTAGAGGCAAAGTTGCAGGGAAGGCTTCCTGGGCCGATGCATGTGAAGAGCCCAATAGGGTGTGAGCTCTCAGTACGCCTGAGCTGCTGTTATTAGTAACTCTATCATCACTGGGTTGGTGCCTACTTCTCAAGGTTTTGAGGGAGAACAATAAGAATTAGTACCAGGGGCTAGGTGCCGTGACTCGCACCTGTAATCCCACCACTTTAGGAGGCCAAGGCAGGTGGATCACCTGAGGTCAGGTGTTCGAGACCAACCTGGCCAACATGGTGAAACCCCATCTCTACTAAAAATACAAAAATTAGGCAGGTGTGGTGGTGGGTACCTGTAGTCCCAGCTACTCGGGAGGCTGAGGCAGGAGAATGGCATGAACCTGGGAGTAAGAGCTTGCAGTGAGCCAAGATCACGCCACTGCACTCCAACCTGGGCAACAGAGCAAGACTCCATCTCAAAAAAAAAAAAAAAAATTAGTACCAGGATCTCCGGGTATCCCCACATGCAGGGCACGAAGAGGTTAGCCTCAGGCAGGAAGGCAGCACAGGCTGGCTCCAGGGGATTGGTGGGCAGGCGGCCAGGTAGCTCTTACCTGAAGCCCAGGTGCTTGTGCATGTGCTTAATGTAGTGTCCATGGGATGAAGGGGTCTAAGTGGGCTTCAGACATGTTGCAGGATGGGCAGAGGGTGTGCTACCCTCTCGTGGCTAGCTGAGCAGCCATCACTCTGGCATAGATGAGTGGGATGCTGTGCAGGGTAGCCTGGCTGGGCACCACCGAGTGGGTCTGTGGGGGGAAGCGCTGGCATCGGAGCTCTGATGTCTATGGGAGAGGTGGTGCCATGAAGGCCAGCAGGGCCCATGGAGGCAGGCTCCACTGCGCATGGGATGGAGCATCCCCCTTAGCTCACGCAGGCCTCCGGAGAGTTTACCCACATGGTCCAGCCACACAGCAGATGGGTATATGCCTGAAATGCAAGGATATAAACATGGTTTACTAGCACGAAGAGATGTTCGCCACACATCGTTGTTAAGAAAAGAAAAAAGGGCCGGGTGTGGTGGCTCATGCCTGTAATCCCAGCACTTTGGGAGGCCGAGGCGGGCAGATAATGAGGTCAGGAGTTCGAGACCAGCCTGGCCAAAATGGTGAAACCCTGTCTCTACTAACAATACAAAAAATTAGCCGGGCGTCGTGGTGGGCACCTGTAATCCCAGCTACTCAAGAGGCTGAGGCAGGAGAATGGCTTGAACCCGGGAGGTGGAGGTTTCAGTGAGCCGAGATCTCGCCACTGCACTCCAGCCTGGGAGACAGTGAGAGACTCTGTTTCAAAAAAAAAAAGAAAAGAACAGAAAAGAAAAAAGTAGGTTTGAAAACTTTACATACAACATCCAAAACGTGGAAACAACTCAAATACCCGTCAACTAATAAATGGACACAATGTGGTCTATCCGGACAAACAGAGGATTATTCAGCCTTGCGAAGGAATAAAGCACTGACACATGTGACAACACGGATGAGCCTAGAGGGCATTATGCAAAGCGAAGGAAGCCAGACACAAAGGACAAATATTGTGTGATCCCATTCATATGAAATGCCCGAAGTAGGTAAATCCATAGAGACAGGAAGCCCATTGCCAGGGAGTGGGGAACAGAGGGTGGGAAGTGGCTGCTAACGGGAACAGGGTTCCTTTGGGGTGATGAAAATGTTTCACAACTAGGGAGGTGATGGTTCCAAAATGTTATAAATGTCCTCAATGCCATAGAGTTGTACACTTTACAATGAGTACTTTCATGATATATGAATTTTACTTCAATTTTAAAAAATTAATAAATAGGCCGGGTGTGGTGGCTCATGCCTGTAAACCCAGCACTTTAGGAGGCTGAGGTGGGCGGACTGCTTGAGCCCAGGAGTTCAAGACCAGCCTGGGCAACACAGGGAGACCTCATCTTTACAAAAAATTAGCTGGGCGTAGTGGCATGTGCCTATAGTCCCAGCTACTTGGGAGGCTATGGTGGGAGGATACCTTGAGCCTGGGAGGCAGAGGCTGCAGTGAGCCGAGATCACACCACTGCACTCCAGCCTGAGCAACACAGTAAGATCCTGTCTCAAAAAAAAATTAATACATAAAAGCCGAGACCATGCAGTGTAATTCCAGTTTTGTTAAGTACACACAAACACAGGCCCACATGTTAGCAGGAGTGGGATCATGGATAACATCTATATTCTTTTTTTTGCTTATATACATTTCCTAAATCATCCACAATAAACATAAAGAAGGAAAAAAAAAAGTTTTAAAAATATTTGGCAGAGTGCGGTGGCTCAGGCCTGTAATCCCAGCACTTTGGGAAGCCGAAGAGGGTGGATCACTTGAGGTCAGGGGTTCAAGACCAGCCTATAATCCCAGCACTTTGGGAGGCCGAGGCGGGTGGATCACTTGAGATCAGGAGTTCCAGACCAGCCTGGCCAACATGGTGAAACCCTGTCTCTACTAAAAATACAAAGATTAGCTGGGCGTGCTGGCATGCACCTGTAGTTCCAGCTACTCAGGAAGTCAAGGCAGGAGAATCTCTTGAACCTGGGAGGTGGAGGTTGCAGTAAGCTGAGACCATGCCACTGCACTCCAGCCTGGGCTACAGAGCAAGACTCTGTCTCAAAAAAAAAAAATAACCAAAAAAAAAAAATAAATAAAAAGTACCTACTGTATGCCCAGCTTCATGTGAATCCAAGAAATAATATCTGATATTGGCACAGCCCTTGACAGTCACAGAATACCTTCAGCCCCTCAGGAAGCCATTTCTGCATCCTCAGTTTCTAGGTGAGACAATTAAGGCTCCATCAAGTCAAGTCACTCTGGGTCCTAGGCCTGGACACCATGAATGCATGGACAGGTGAGAATAAAGAGACACCCCCAAGAACTACAGATGCAGAGCAAGATTGCTTTCTTTTTCTTCCTCTTTTTTTAGAGAAAGAGTCTCACTGTGCCACCCAGGCAAGATCATAGGTCACTTTAACCTCGAACTCCTGGGCTCAAGTGACCCTCCCATCCAGACTCCTGAGTAGCTGGGACTATAGCGCATGCCATCTCTGCCATCTCACCCAGGTGCCCAGCAGTATTTCTCTTTTCTCTTTTTTCTCTTTCTTTCTTTCTTCTTTCTCTCTCTTCCTTCCTTTTCTTCTTTTCTCTTTTTCTTTCTTTCTTCTTTCTCCCTTCCTTTTCTTTTCTCTTTTTCTTTCTTTCTTTTTCTCTTTCTTTCATTCTTTTTTCTTTCTTTTCTCTTTCTCTTTTTTTTTTTTGACAGAGTCTTGCTCTGTTGCCCAAGCTGGAGTGCAGTGGCACGATCTCAGCTCACTGCAATCTCCGCCTCCTGGGTTCAAGCGATTCTCATGCCTCAGCCCACTGAGTAGCTGGGACTACAGGTGCGTGCCACCACGCCTGCCTAATTTTTGTATTTTTAGTAGAGACAGGGTTTCAACATGTTGGCCAGGCTGGTCTCGAACTCCTGACCTCAGGTTATCCACCCACCTCGGCCTCCCAAAGTGCTGGGATTATAGGTATGAGCCACCATGCCCGGCCTATTTCTTTTTGTTGTTGTTGTTGTTGTTTTTTTTGAGGAGTCTCACTCTGTCACCCAGGCTGGAGTGCAGCAGTGTAATCTCAGCTCACTGAAACCTCTGCCTCCTGGGTTCAAGTGATTCTCATATCTCAGCCTCCTAAATAGCTGGCATTACAGGCTCCCACCACCACGCCTGGCTAATTTTTGTATTTTTAGTAGAGACAGGATTTCACCATGTTGGCCAGGCTGGTCTCGAACTCCTGACCTCAGGTGATCTGCCCACCTTGGCCTCCCAAAGCGCTGGGATTACAGGTGCGTGCCACCACACCTGGCCCCCAGCAGTATTACTTATAAGCCTCTAGTGCATACTGGGCCCTCCTGGGACAATCTTCTTATTCCCAACAACAGCTCACACTCATGCACACTTCTGAGCCTTTTTCTAGGCTGGACACCTGGCCTGGAAGGTCTCTCTGCCGCTCCCCACCGCACCTCACCCCCACCAGCCTATGAGCTTCCCCATCTGGGAAGCCTGCCCTGCTTTGAAGCCAAGAACACTGTGGAAGGAGTTTCTCCCAGCCCTAAGGATGGGTCTAAGAAAGGAGGTGCCTAGGAGAGGTCCCCACAGGCAGGAGGCCTGCAGCACCCCAGACTCAGCTGGGCTCCTGCTAACCATTTCAGAAATACAGATTTTTAGAAAAAGTTTGTTTTTCCTCTTAACTATAAAAGTGACACATGCTTGTGGTTTAAAAAAAAAAAAAAAAAAAAGCCAAGCGCGATGGCTCACACCTGTAATACCAGCACTTTGGGAGGCTGAGGTGAGTGGATCACGAGGTCAGGAGATTGAGACCATCCTGGCCAACATGGTGAAACCCCATCTCTACTAAAAGTACAAAAAATTAGCCGGGTGTAGTGGCGGGCGCCTGTAGTCCCAGCTACTCAGGAGGCTGAGGCAGGAGAATCACTTGAACCCAGGAGGTGGAGGTTGCAGTGAGCCGAGATTGTGCCACTGCACTCCAGCCTAGCGATGGAGTGAGACTCCATCTCAAAAAATAATAATAAAAAAAGGTTGAGGCCGGGCTCAGTGGCTCACACTTGTAATCCTAGCACTTTGGGAGGTCGAGGTGGGTGGATCACCTGAGGTCAGGAGTTTGAGACCAGCCTGGCCAACATGGTGAAACCCCATCTCTACTAAAAACACAAAAAATTAGCTGGGTATGGTGAGATGCATCTGTAATCCCAGCTACTCAGGAGGCTGAGGCAGGAGAATTGCTTAAACCCAGGAGGTGGAGGCTGCAGTGAGCTGAGATTGCACCACTGCACTCCAGCCTGGGCAACACAGCAAAAACTCCGTCTCAAAAACAAACAACAAAAAAGGTTGAAACAGAACAAAACCCCTCTGCTCTCATCTCGCAGAGGTCATCCCTGAGTCAGGGTGGCAGTCCCTCCCCGGGGGGCAGAGGAGAGTGCCTATGGTTGAGGCTGGGGACTCTGCAACTGGGGGTACCAGTATTAAATCAACACCTGCTGATCCCATGGGCCTTGGACAGGTTTCTTGGCTTTTTGGGGGCCACTGTCAAGTGGCGAGTATAAAAGCACCTCCCCACAGCAAATTAAAATCTGGCATGTGCACATACAGTGCTTGGCGCAGGGCTCACATGAGAAACCTGCTTTCTGGGTGGTGGCTGGTGTTCTTGGTAAATCTTACATCCTCCCATAGCAGCCAGAAAAGTCCTGGGCAGTCTGAGATCCATAAAGCCTGCTCGATTGCACAGGTAATACTCAAAGTGACAGTAACAAAATGTAGCCAAGTCCTGTGTTTGGCACCCTCCCCATGGTCTGTGTGCTAGGTGTGCCGGGGTCCTGGCCCAGAGAGTACACTCTCTCCCCTGCCCCTCACCCACCCTTGTGCCCCAAGCCTGTCCCTCAGAGGCTTCCCTGACCCTGGAGCAGGCCCACAGCAGGCGCGGTGCTGCAGGCAGTGTCCTCCCAAGTGCTGCGAGAGGCTTTTTCTCTGTAACCTTCCCAAGCTCCCGGCGGCTGTAAGTCTTCTCCTGGCAGGGACTGCAGAGGCTCAGCCTGGTGCTTGGGCAGGCTGCCTCTCTTGTCCTCCTTCTGGCTCTGCAGAATGCAGCTCCTCTCCAAGGCCAGGGCAGGATGCCCAGGGCCAGGCGACTGCAGCATTCTTGTCCTCATCCTTCAAGGCCAGCCCGAGGACTGAGTCCCTTCCCCATCTGAAATCAAGGGTCTTGGGTCTGAATCTTTCCTAAGATTCTGATGAGAATCATAGTCACTATTTCTAAAGAATGCTCACATACACACAACACACAATTTTGCATAAAACTTTACCAGCTACTTCTCCCACCAAGTTTGTCATGAATCAGCCAGGTAAAGAATTTCCACATTTCAGGAGCTACTGCTATTTGCAAAAGCAAACTGCAAAACAGAATGTATAGTGTTAATCTTTTAAAAATATAAATTTTAACATATAAATGCATAGAAAAATCTGAAAAAATCTGTGTAAGTGGCTCTAATGCTTATCTGTAGACAGTGGCTTTCAAGAGCTTTCATTGTATACCTCAGGCATTTTTGTATATGAATTTTTTTATTTTTGAGACAAGGTATTGTTCTGTCACCCAGGCTGGAGCACAGTGGTGTGATCACAGTTCACTGCAGCCTCACCCTTCTGTGCTCAAGCAATCCTCCCACCTCAGCCTCCCAAGGAGCTGAGACTACAAGTGCACAATGACATGCCAGCTAATTTTGTTCTTTTTTTTAGAGATGGGGTCTCACTGTGTTGCCCAGGCTAATCTGGAACTCCTAGGCTCAAGCGATCCTCCCACCTCGGCTTCCCAGAGTGCTGGGATTACAGGCAAGAGCCACTGTACCCGGCCTTAATATAGTTTTTTTTAACATGCGTTTAACTTTTAGGAATTTCTTTCCCATTTAAAATAGAATCCTATAATGTTATCACCAACTATCTCAAATTCTCCAGGCCACTGATCCTTCTGTTGAGCAAATAGAGTCGACCATCACCCCAGAATAGTAATGAGGACTCCAGCTTCTGAAGTTCAATCTACAATTGATCAATCTGACATTTACATTTACCACTGGGTTCCTCTGGGAAAGGTATTAACCTATCTAGGCCTCCGATTAGCCTTCAACGTGGATTAGTTGCAGCTCCTAAACTTCAAAGGGTTTCTTACTTCGGTAAAAATAAAAAAAAAAGATCAATGTGTTTTGTTAATTTTTTTTTTTTTTTGAGATGGCGTCTCACGGTGTTGCCCAGGCTGGAGTGCAGTGGTGCGATCTCGGCTCACTGCAACCTCCACCTCCCGGGTTCACGCCATTCTCCTGCCTCAGCCTCCTGAGTAGCTGGGACTACAGGTGCCCACCACCATGCCCGACTAATTTTTTGTATTTTTAGTAGAGAAGGGGTTTCACCATGTTAGCCAGGATGGGCTCAATCTCCTGACCTCGTGATCCACTCGCCTCGGCCTCCCAAAGTGCTGGGATTACAGGCGTGAGCCACCGCGCCCAGCCTTGTTTTTTTAATTTTTAAAGAAAAGACTCGAGTAAGTCAGGCTCTCAGGGACCCTGCCTGAGTCCCCAGTGGAAATGGTTCGTCTTAGGGCTGCATCATTTGCCCCAGCCAACTTCTTACCAACTGGAGGGTCTCAAGGTGGGCCCCCAGAAGGTCCTGCAGGGCTGGGAGCCCAGAGGACAAATATGGCTAATGGAATCCAGCCTGGACTCTTACATCTGGCACCAGTTCAGCAAGTGAGGATATAAAAAACCAGACATCACCTCATCGCTGTCTCATCAAAAAAGGAGACTTTCTCGCTGCACATTCCTGCAGAGGACAAATTCCTGCTCATGTATTGCTTGGGAGGGAGCAAGAAGAGCAGAGTAGGGAATCTGAGGAGTTCTCCCCTTCTTGGGAATGGGAGAGCAGCCCAGGTCATCACAGCAGCCCTGAGACTGGCCTCTTGGTAACCATGACAACCTCAGCTCCCAGGCACTGTGTGGACATCTGACATGCGGAGACCCTCCTCCACTCCTTCCTACAACTCTGAAGAAGAACCTGGTTCTGCGAGGTGAGGGGGCTTGTCTGAGGTCACTGAGCTGCGGTTGGAACTTGCCCCTGTCTGACGAACTCCCACGCCGATGCTCTCAGCTTCCCAGGAGCCAAGAGGCCTGTGGTCTAAGCGCAGCTCTTCTCAAACTGTGTGAGTGAGCTTGGGCAGGTCTAAGACCCCTCCTGAGTGCTTCAGTATCCCTCTCAGGATGTCCAGAGGAAAACTCCAGGCTGCCCCACCTCTTCCTCCAGGATAGTCTGTCATCAGTTTACACGTTGGGCTTTCCTGGAAAATTTAGAACACAGGGCCTGACAGTGTCAGAAAGATAACTAAAATGAACAAACACAACCCTCACAGTTGCGTTAAGACCAGACAGTCTCTAAAAGCTACAATAGGCGTGGTGGCTCACGCCTATAATCTCAGCACTTTGGGAGGCCGAGGCGTGTGGATCACGAGGTCAGGAGTTCAAGACCAGCCTGGCCAAGATAGTGAAACCCCATCTCTACTAAAAATACAAAAATTAGCTGGGAGTGGTGGCAGGCGCCTGTAGTCCCAGCTACTCGGGAAGCTGAGGCAAAGAACTGCTTGAACCTGGGAGGCAGAGGTTGCAGTGAGCTGAGATCGCACCACGGCACTCCAGCCTGGGTGACAGAGCAAGACTGTCTCACACACACACACACAAAAGCAACAATAGGAAGGTCCCCACAGTTCCAGATCCCCAATGTGCTCTCTCTAGAAACTGATGGCCCCATTGGATCCCCTGGCCCTGCCTGCTCAGCCCACCTGCCTCAGGGTCCTCATGGCTTCTCCTCCTCTGATCCCACCCTGAAGGATATGGGGTCCCCTCATGCCCCTCACCCTGTAGGCTTCTCAGGACTCCTCAGCAGGGCTCCCCAAGGACAATGTAAACAGCAAAACTAGGCTAAGATGTTGGACTCAAGGGAGTGGAGCCTTTGGTGTTTCAGGAGAATCTATAAATCCAGATTTTTATGCTAAATCGCCCAGTCATTTCATGTTGACAACTATAACCCTCATTTGCCATATGATGTTTTTTCTTTTTTTTTTAAGAGACAGGGTCTTGCTCTGTCACCCAGGCTGGAGTGCGGTGGTGCGATCATAGCTCACTGAAGCTTCGAATTCTGGGCTTAAGCCATTCTCCACCTCAGCCTCCTAGTAGCTGGGATTACAGGTGTGTGCCACCATGCCTGGCTAATTTTTTAAAATTTTTTGTAGAGATGAGGGTCTTGTTATATTGCCCAGGCTGGTCTCAAACTCCTGGCCTCAAGTCATCTTCCCGCCTTGGCCTCCCAAAGTGCTGGGATTTCAGGCATGAGCCACCATGCCCTGCCTGCTGTATGATTTCACATCCATTTGCTGTCCCTCCTCTGCTCACCATCTGGAAAGGTGGGGGAACTAACCCTTCAAACTACATTTCCCAAGCTCCTTTGCAAACCGGCGTTGATTAGGTCCAGCCAATGGGAGGCACTGAAGGGAGACTGGCAGATAGAAGAGGCCCGGGTTTTTCCAGCCTTTGGGCAGTGGCTGGGTCTTCTCCAAACTTACAATTCCCTCCAGATAGACCTCTGTGGTCCCAGGCCATGGGTTTGGGTAACCCACCTCTGTCCAGCCTCCTGTTTGGCTTTCCAAAATTTCCCCCATTGGACCCCCTAAAGTGGGTTCTGTTTTTCTGACTGATAGGGCAACTAACTCAAATCCTCTTTTTTTTTTTCCATATTTAAAATGGCTGTGTAAGGCCGGGCATGGTGGCTCACGCCTGTAATCCCAGCACTTTGGGAGGCCGACGCCTGTGGATCACTTGAGGTCAGGAGTTCGAGACCAGCCTGGCCAACATGGCGAAACCTCATCTCTACTAAAAATACAAAAATTAGCCGGGTGTGGTGGTGCATGCCTGTGATCCCAGCTACTTGGGAGGCTAAGGCAGGAGAATTACTTGAACCCGGGAGGCAGAGGTTGCCATGAGCCAAGATCACACCACTGCATGCCAGCCTGGGCTTACAGAGCAAGACCCTGTCTCAAAAAAAAAAAAAAAAAAAAAAAAAAAAGATGGGCAAGGAAAAGAAAAAAAATCTATACACAAAACTGCCCATTTTTACCATTTTAAGTGTACAGGCCAGTGGTATTAATTATATTCAAAATATTGCACAATCATTACTACTATTTCCAAATCAAATCCCTTTAATGTCCTCTGTGGTTCTGCAGGCCTGTGGATGCCTGCTTGCCACCTCTGATTTGCAGATGGCAAAGATCCCCAGCCAGGTGCAGTAGCTCATGCCTGTAATCCCAGTAATCCCTACAGTTTAAGAGGCTGAAGCAGGAGGATCACTTGAGGCCAGGAGTTCAAGGCAAAGATTCTCTCATGCATTCTCTCCCCAGAGCATCCCAAATCCCATGAAGTTAATGGGGAGAGGGATGATCACCCTAATTTCATAGAGGAGGGAACTGGATTCAGGCAGACCCAGGGCTCCTATGTAAGAGGGGAACCCCAAAGGCCTGGTTCCTAGCCCTGTGCTCTGTCTGTGCCCCACCCAGCCTCCTGGTAGCCTCCTCCCCACCCTCCAAACCTGTGCACATATTCACTGCTGCCCTGCCCTCCACCAAAGCTACCCTGGGCAACAGGGTGGAGGTGGGAGTCCTGGTTTCCTATTGGACATCATAAGACTGGACACCAATAAGAGTAACAACAACAGGGCTGGGCGTGGTGGCTCACGCCTGTAATCCCAGCACTTTGGGAGGCCAAGGTGGGCGGATCACCTGAGGTTGGGAGATCAAGACCATCCTGGCTAACACGGTGAAACGCTGTCTCTATGCAAAATACAAAAAAATAGCTGGGCGTGGTGGCACATGCCTGTAATCCCAGCTACTCAGGAGGCTGAGGCAGGAGAATTGCTTGAACCTGGGAGGCAGAAGTTGCGGTGAGACGAGATTGTGCCACTGCACCTTAACCTGGGCAACAAGAGCGAAACTCTGTCTCAAGAAAAAAAAAAAAAAAGAGTAACAACAACAATCCCCCAAATATTTATGCACACAGGGGAAGGGACTGGGTCAGAGCCCTGAGCACAGGCCCCAAGGGTCTTGTGTCTCTGCTTTTCAGGGGTCACAGGGAAGTCTAGGGTGGTGGAAAAGCCCGGAGCCTCCCTAACTATAACACTCCAGTCACCACTTCTGGAGCGCTTACTGCATTCTCCAAGCAATTCCAGGTACTGTCTCTTAATCTTCAGAGAAAAGAGGCTGCTCGGGGAGCTATTATGCCCACTCGGTTCCCAGCAGAAAGGGGTGGAGCCAGCATCCCTGCCCTGCCCTGCCGTGATGTGCCCTGTGTGCCCCGCCTGCCCAGTGCCTCCTCACTCTGGCCCCTGCCTTTGCTGGGCTTGTTTCCCCACACTGGGCCCGTTCTGTGAGGAATAATGAAAGCAAGTGTCAGACTGCCTGAAGGGAGGCCCCCTCAGCCCAAAGCAGCCCTTCACCATTGTAGCCCTGCCGGGCTGTGGGCCTGAGCCCAGCCTCTGCTGCAGCCTGGGGAGCAGATCCAGGCAGGCAGCTCCGTTGAGGAGGCACAGCAACAGCCGGAGGGGACCTGGGACAGGGAGGGGACCCCAGATGGGGAGATGGAGGCCTCTGGTGGCCCGATATCTTTGCCAGGACATGGTGGACCCTGTCCCAAGCCCTGAGCAGCCCCAGGTGAGATGGGCATCCCACAGGCCTGGGTTTAAACCTGGTTCTAAATAACACATGCTGGGTTTGTCTGGGAACACACACACTGCTGAGAAGGACACCTGAGAATCAGATCACCCCGGCTGCTTCCCTAGGAGGATTTGGGTGGCTGGGGACAGAAGAGAAGGGAGATTTTTCACTGTCTACCCTTCGCGCCTTCAGACTTTTGAGCCATTAATAAATAATTCAAAAAATTTAAGCCCTGGTTTGGTAAACCCTTCTAGGAGCTTGTTCTGAAATGGAGGCCATTCCAACAAATGCCAGCTCTGTCACCACTAGCTCTGTGAGTTGCGAAAATCATGTCACCTCTCTGTGCCTCAGTTTCCTCCTCTGTGAAACAGATACTAGAACTTGTCCACTATTCACAAGGTTACGAACGATCAAGATTTGGTCATCTGACCAGGCATGGTGGCTCATGCCTGTAATCCTAGCACTTTCGGAGGCTGAGGCAGACAGATCACTTGAGGTCAGGAGTTCGAGACCAGCCTGGCCAACATGGCAAAACCCTGTCTCTACTAAAAATATAAAAAATTAGCTGGGCATGCTGGCACACATCTATGATCCCACCTACTCAGGAGGCTGAGGTGGGGGGATTGCTTGAACCCAGGAGGCAGAGGTTGCAGTGAGCCAAGATCATGCCACTCCAGCCCGGGGAAACAGAGCAAGACTCCATTAAAAAAAAAAAAAAAAAAAAAGGCCGGGCATGGTGGCTCACGCCTGTAATCCCACCACTTTGGGAGGCTGAGGCGGGTGGATCACCTGAGTTTGGGAGTTTGAGACCAGCCTGACCAACATGGAGAAACCTTGTCTCTACTAAAAATACAAAATTAGCCAGCTGTGGTGGCGCATGCCTGTAATCCCAGCTACTCGGGAGGCTGAGGTGGGAGAATCACTTGAACCCCGGGAGGCGGTGGTTGTGGTGAGCTGAGATTGTGCCATTGCGCTCCAGCCTGGGCAACAAGAGCAAAACTCTATCTCAAAAAAAAAAAAAAAAGATTTGGCCCTTCAAAATTCCCCAGTGATCTCCTCTGTACCACAAATGGTGCCAGGCACAGTGGGTGTCAAGGTGAGGACGAGGGGCTTACAGTCTGGTAGAGGAGGTAAACACATGAACAGATGCTTGCAACAAGATGGATGAGTGCCGGACAGGGGAAACTGAGAGAGGCCAGTGGAGGAGCCTAATTCAGCCTGGGACAGGAAGGGCATCAAGGAAGGCTTCCTGGAGGAGGTGATGCCACAGCTGAGTCTTATTTTTTTATTTTTCAAGACAGGGTTTCACTGTCGCTGCCCAGGCTGGAGTACACTGGTGCAATCTCGGCTCACTACAGCCTGACCTCCCAGGCTCAAGTAATCCTCCTGCCTCACCCTCCTGAGTAGCTGGGACTACAGACGCTGACCACCACACCTGGCTAATTTTTGTACTTTTTGTAGAGACAGGGTTTCAATCATGTTGCCCGGGCTGGTCTTGAACTCCTGACCTCAAGTGATCCTCCCACCTCAGGCTCCTAAAATGCTGAGATTACAGGTATGAGCCACTGCACCCAGCCATACAGCTGAGTCTAGAAGGCTATCAGTTTGTTGTTCAATCAGAGGAGAAAGGGAGTCAGGAAAGGGGGCGGTGCGGTGAGCAGCAAGAGCGAAGGCCAGAGCGGGGATGCAATGCTGCTTCCAGATGAGCAGGAAGCAGGCTGGTGCTGAGGGCAGTGCGAAGCTGAGAAAAGGCGTTTGCCATGGACTTGAAAGGATGGCCCGGCTTCAGACCCTGATTCTACCATTTATCAGCTGTGTTACCTTGAGCAAAAATGATGTGACCAGTGCTTACCCTGTAGGGTTGTCGTGAGGATAAAAGCAAGTTAATGCATGTAAGGTGCTTAGAACGGTCCTCTGCAGACCCAGGTGCAGAGTGGCCATCAGGAAGATGCTGGCTAGGCCAGGTGCGGTGGCTCACACCTGTAATCCTAGCACTTTGGGAGCCCGAGGTAGGTGGTTCACCTAAGGTCAGGAGTTCAAGACCAGCCTGGCCAACATGGTGAAACCCCATCTCTACTAAAAATACAAAATTAGCCGGGCATGGTGGCGTGCACCTGTAGTCCCAGCTACTTGGGAGGCTGAGGCAGGAGAATCGCTTGAACCCAGGAGGCAGAGGTTACAGTGAGCTGAGACCCAGCCTGGGTGACAAGAGTGAAACTCCGTCTCAAAAGAAAAAAAAAAAAAGAAGAAGAAGATGATGCTGACTAAATATGTCTGAGTGGATGCACACATGAGCAAACAGGCCACCAAGCTCTCGACAGTTCCACGCCCTCCTTGCAGACACCCAGTGTTGGGGACCACTGTGGCCTCCCCACTTCCTGCTCATGGATCAGACAGATGACCTGGAGGCACAGTGATGACCGCCACCCCCACCCCCACGCTGGCCACAAAATGCCCACCCACAGCCCATGCTCCCACTGTCTGCAGTGGCCTGGACTTGGCAGCCCCTGGGAACCAGGCTTGAGGATGCTGAGCCAGGCCTTGAAGGGAAAAGAGACCCATATTTATTGTCACCCGCTCAAGCTGTGTCTAGCACAGGGATCCACCTGCAATAGCTCAGGTCCGACTCTCCCTATTTTATGGATGGGGCTCAGGGAGGCAAGAGAGTGGCCTGGAAAAAGCCAGCGGTCCTGCCCAAGGCTGTGGGGCTCCAAAGATGGGTGTCTCCAGTACCCATCACCCACCCAGGCCTAGTTCTTTCTTGCTCACCTGGCCTGGTTGCTGGGGTCTCCATTTAGACACATGGAAGGCCCAGTTCCAGGCCAGACATGGTGGTTCACACCTGTAATCCCAGCACTTTGGGAGGCTGAGGTGGGCGGATTACTTGAGGTGAGGAGTTCAAGACCAGCCTGGCCAACATGGCGAAAGCCCCTCTCTACTAAAAATACAAAAATCAGCCAGGCATGGTAGTACACGCCTGTAATCCCAGCTACTTGGGAGGCTGAGGCAGGAGAATCTCTTGAACCCAGGAGGCGGAGGTTGTAGTGAACAAAGATTGTGCCACTGCACTCCAGCCTACGCAACAAAGCAAGACGCCATCTCAAAAAAAAAAAAAAAAAAAAGGAGACTCAGTTCCAAGGCAAAAGACTTGGGAGGCGGTGGGGCCATGTGAAGGAAACTCAGAAGCATGGGTATCAGTGAGGATACCTTCAAGATCATTCAATGTGCAAACAGCAAACCTGAGGCCCAGAGAGGTTCCATAAGCCACTTTAGGCCATCCAGCCCACCCATGGCAGGGCTGGGATGGAACTTTGTCCTTCTTCTCAAGGCACAACCTGCCCTGATGTCCCAGGTGCCTGGTGGTTGGGGACTGGGGGTGTGGTGGGGTGGGGCTGCAGGCTGTGGCCTGAGGCAACCTGTCTGCAAACCAGGACCCAGAAAAGAACAGGCCAGGAGTGGTTTGCAAGCAGTTTTGCTGGAGAGAGCCCAGAGGGAGCCATAAATCAGGCACTGCGGCTACTGGTCAGGAGCAGGGACTAGCATCCAGCAGGGATGCCTGCCCCCCATCTGGGCCCTTCGCCCACCACAGTGACAGGGATGCTGCAGAGGCTGTGGAGGCCCAGGCCAGGTCCCCAGCCCTGCTGCGGCTCTGCAGGTGGAGGAATGCGGGAGGAGATTCTGAGTTGGGCTCAACTGGCTCTCGCCGCAGAGAGAGTAGAACGCCCAGAAAGGCTGGCTGGGGGTGGCCTGTTGACCTTACCCTGCAGCCAGGTGGAAGGAGAGGACAGGACAGGAGGGAGGCTTCAGTCTCGGGCTGGCCAGAGGGTCATGCCTTCTGCAGCTGGGCCTGAAGAAATGGGGGCAGGAAAGGGGCTCGAGGCTCACTGAGGAGCCTACAGCTTCTTTGGGTGCGTGGGCTGGGTCTGAAAAGGGAGCATCCAGGCTCCACCCTGGAAGTTGGTTGATGCTCTGGGGCAGGGACAGAGACAGGAAAGCTAGCCCTGACATGATTCACCATGCGACAAGTTAGCCAAGGGGAGGGGGGGAGGGGACAAAAGGCACCTGATGGCTGATGATATTGATAGCCATAGTGACGACAATGGTTCCTGTGTATTTACTAGAGATGCTATGCCAGCCACTGTGAGCCTCAGCACGACCCTAGCAGGGAGGTACCATTTATTCCCCTTTTTACAGATGAGGTAACTGAGGGCCAGAGTGATGAAATGATGGCCTGCACAGCCAGCAGTGCTCCCATCAGCCCTGGCAAACCCTTGCGTGTCCCTTTTCTGGGGCTCTGAGCTCCAGGCAGGCTGGGGCACAGGCTCTTGCGGTCCCTCCTCCATCTCCTGCATGGTGCCTTGCTCACAAAACACACTCGGTATGCAACCATGAGCGGATGTGTGAAGTCAGCCCCTCTGGGTGCAGACGGAGAGAACATCCAATCCCCCCACTGCCCTTCTCTACAACTGGCCATGTAACTATATCTAGCAAAGCCCATGGTCTGATCTGAGCAGCACAGTGTCCAAAGAGGTGGCCAAGGCCTGGAAAACCGCCCCCACCCATTTCACAGATGAGAAAACTGAGGCTCAGGGAGGTTATGTAGCTTGCTTGGGGCCCCTAGCCAGCTAGTAGGGGCCCAGGCCCCTTCCCCTTCTCCCGGAACCTATCAGCCCTCTCTGGAGGAGGGCTGGAAGAGCTGCCAGGAGTAAATAACACCAGTGACAGCCAACATTTAGGGAGCGTGGAACATCTCGTCTGAACCTCTTGGTTTTTTAATAACAGCCTTATTGAGAGATAATTCACATCCCATACAACTCAACCATTTAAAGCAACAATGCCATGTTTATGGAGTTGTGCAACCATCACAATCAATTTTAGAACATTTTTATCACCCCAGGCCAGGCACAGTGGCTCACACCTGTAATCCTGGCACTTTGGGAGGCTGAAACAGGCCGATTACTTGAGGTCAGGAGTTCGAGACCAGCCTGGCCAACATGGTGAAACTCTTGTCTCTACTAAAAATACAAAATTAGACAGGCATGGTGGCATGAGCCTGTAGTTCCAGCTACTTGGGAGGCTGAGGCAGGAGAATTGCTGCAACCTGGGAGGCGGAGGCTGCAGTGAGCCAAGATTGCAACACTGCACTCCAGCCTGTGTGACAGAGTGAGCTCTGTCTCAAAAGAAAAAAAAAAAAGAAAAAGAAAAAGAAAAAAAGAATATTTTCATCATCCCAAAAAGAAACCTCATACTCTTTAGCTATCACTCTCCAAGTCCCTTATCCTCTCAGGTTTAGGTAGCCACTAATCTATTTTCTGTCTCTATAGATTTGCCTATTCTAGACATTTCATATAAATAAAGTCATATAATAGCCAACAACCTTTTGAATGTGGTATGATTATCACCCATTTCCCAGATGGAAGTAATGAAGCTTAGACAGATGAAACCCTTACCTAGGGGTCCTTAATGAAGCAATGTCAAAAAGGATTCAAACCGAGGCCTTCCTGGCCCCAAGGGCCTGCTCTTTGTCACCAGTTAAGAGAGCCTTGGAGCAAAGGGGCAGCTCTCCCCGACCCTCCTTCTCTCCTCCCCGAGCCCAGGGCCCCATCCCCACATTCCTCCATCACCCCTAGAGGTTCTACCAGAAACACTTCGGGACCAGGGAACCCATCCAGTTATTTCCCCACTCTTGCTCTCAATCCTTCAGGCTGCAGCTATGCCACCTCCTTTGGGAGGCTCTCCCTGGCTGCTCACCTTTCTTGGTACCCCCGCTGCTCATATGTATTTGTCCATAGAAGATCAGGCAGCCTGGCCTCCTGTGTGTGTGGGTGGGAACCTAAGGCCCTCGGTAAGGTGTCTGAGGTTGGCCAGTGAGGCCAGGCAGAGCCCTGGGGCCCAGGGCCAGATCTCTGACTTCCTCACCAGTGTTCTTCCTCTGGCCTGTTTCAAACGGGAAATGCTCCAGCTCCAACAAAGTAAAGGGAGCACTGTGCTGTGAGCCTGGGTGCCCGGGTGGTGTCCTGGCTCCATGGGAGCCGAAACACAGCCACATCCCCTTTGAGGAGGCTCCACCAGGCCCGCATCTCCTCCATCCTCACCCCATTCTGTCAAGTGGTCCCATCAAGGAGAGGGGGGTAAACTGAGGCTCAGCAAGGCTAGTGGCCTACCCAAGGCCACAGGCACTGAGCCAGGACTCCCCTGCTGACTCCCAGCTTGCCCCCCACCACATGCTGGGTCAGGAGCCCCAGTTTGAAGCTCTAACAACCCCTGGACTTGCCCCCTCTATCAGTTCTTACAAAATTGGCCCCAAACTTGCTGGGGAGCTGGGAGCCTGTCTTCTTCATGGCTGTATTCCCAGTGCAGGGTGGGGCCTGAAACACATCTTAGGAAATGTCTGTTGAATGGATGAGACAGAAGGAGGGAAGGCCCAGGTGCAGTGGCTCACACCTGTAATCTCAGCACTTTGAGAGGCCAAGGTGGGAGAACTGTTCGAGCCCAGGAGTTCGAGACCAGCCAGGCAACATGGTGAGATGGGGTGTCTCTACCAAAAAATAATAATAAAAAAATAACAAAATTAGCCAGGCATAGTGGTGTGCACCTGTTGTCCCAGCTACTCGGGAAGCTGAGGATGAAGTGGGTGGATCGCTTGAGCCCAGGAGGTCAAGGCTGCAGTGAGTTGAGATTGCACCACTGCACTCCAGCCTGGGCGACACAGCAAGTCTCTGTCTCTAAAATGAACGAACAAATGAACAAATGAAAGAAAGAAAGGAAGGAAGGAAGGAAGGAAGAAGAAGGGTGGAAGAAAGGGAGAAATGGGGATGGGATCTAGTGAGCAGGTCTTCTGACTCCTAAATCAAGAACTCTTTTGACATTTTTGGGTCTTATGCCTCTGGAGAATCACCCACACAATCCTGCACAG